>NC_000002.12:189610830-189913860 GCF_000001405.40 Homo sapiens | reverse complement strand
CATGAATTCAAGATTATTTTTAAACAGTACACATCCTGAACTAATTATAATTACCCCAGATGTTTTCCATAAAAATGGTCACACATTTGAACAGGGTTTCTTTAGCAACTGTTCTATATCAAATTTACTGCAAAGAGCATCAAAATTATGAGGTAACACTGTATCAAATTCACTATGTTTAAGCTACAAATGATAATGAAGTTTGAGCTTACAATTTATTTTCATCAGTGCTCCAGCTAACCTATAGCCATATGTATTTAATCCAAGAGAACCAAGAGGAAAGCCAATATTTTAATAATAAATGATCAGTAATCACTTCCCTACAGCATGACAAAGTAATCAAAATTGGCAAATACAATAAATGTAACATATAGTTTTAGGAGGGCTTTTGTTTACTTTTTTAAAAAATATATTAAAGTGTTTTGGGCAAAAGAACTATTCTAGTAATTTAATAAATCTGGATAATTTTTAATCTATAAATTACAGAAGTGACAGTGAAAAATAATTACAAAACCAATATTGATGAAAACATTAAAGAATTGATGAGAAAGAACAGTGTGAAATATTTTAATTTGGCCATTATATTTACTTTTAATTACAGAACTTGGAAAGGAAAAGGTAAGGGAGAATATCAAAGGAGTCAAAGGTGTTCCAGTTGCTTTCTTTTCTTTTATTAAAGACATTTGTCAAATTAGGTTTAGAAAAAGAAGTTCATTAACATGTACATTTAAAGCATCATTGAGACTATATCTATATTTTAATATATACATGAGGAAAAACATGTAAAGTGTAATATATACATTTGCTTATTCAAGATGAACAAAGCATCAGATCTTCTCCCAGTAGATCCTTTTTCTCTTTAGCTCAGGTATAGATGATTTTAAATTAAAATAAAATACTCTACAGCTTTGCGGTACAGTGTCCTCAGCCAAGCTATTATGTTACAACAGTTTTTCTGGTCCTTTTGGAAATCAACTATGACAAATGAAAATTCTTAGTTTGCTGCTTAGGTTTTGAAAAGAAACATAGGAAGTAACTTTTCACGTCAAAAGAATCAAGAAAAACACTAATTTTACTGCAAAATTTAATAAAGCTTAATTCTGCCTAACATGCAGTAAAATGTTGACATGTTAACCATGACATGTTACCATGAACTATGTGACTGACTGATTCATAAATTAATCAAAAGCATAGAGACAATAATAAATCACATGATACATCAATTTGAGTTGTTTATATAAACAAAAGTCCTTGGCCTTCATAAATTACTATATGTGACCATTTGTCCAAACTATCTTTTTGTTGTTATTGTTGTTGTTGAGACAAGAGTTTCGCTCTGTTGCCCGGGCTGGAGTGCAGTGTTGCGATCTTGGCTCCCTGCAGCCTCTGCCTCTCAGGTTCAAGCAATTCTCCAGCCTCAGCCACCCCAGTAGCTGGGATTATAGGTCTGAGCCACTATGCCCAGCTAATTTTTGTATTTTTAGTAGAGAAAGGGTTTCGTCATGTTGGCCAGGCTGGTCTCGAACTCCTGGCCTCAAGTGATCCACCCACCTCGGCCTCCCAAAGTGCTGGGATTATAGGTGTGAGCCATCGCACCCAGCCATATCCAGGCTATATTAATATTTATCATATTTAATTATAACAGCATAAGTTAGAATGTTTATCAAGAAAAAACTGAATTGGTTCTATGAAAAACAAACAAAAACAACTGAAAAAAACAAATAATAAGGCTTATTATATGTAATTATGTACATGCTGTGTGGTATACCAACTTACAAAAAGTACAATGTACATTCTAAGCTCCCTTAACATGCAAAATTATATTAAATTGTTCAATTGTTGCCATAACTGGATATACATATATATTAAAGTAATTACATATTTATTTTCTATTCTGATGTTCATAAGGAAGGGTAAATCAACCAGTTTGTATTATTAAAAGAAACAATTGAGGTAACTATAGAAAAAAAAACTAGGAGTAGAAAAAAACAAATAGAGCTTTTTAAGAAATATTAGAAAATTAAAATTTTTAAACAATGTTTGCTAAAGCAATTAATCCAAATAAGTCAGAGAAAATAAAGCAAAATGGTAACCAAGGGATAAAATGAATTGTCATTAAAGACAGTAAGAATGACTGCTTAATGCTTTTAAAAAAATCAGCCTTTAAAGAAACTACAGGATAGATGTTTCTAATAACCAAAAGCTTTCCTTTCCTGAATTTTTCTAATTCATATTGTATACAATAAATTTAGTCAAATTTCCAGAGTAAACTATAAATTTGGTCAAATTTCTATGTTAAACATTTGACTATTTTTCTACCACACATAAATATGATCAGAATCATGAGATAAATACTGGCATAGTGTTTGACATTACAGAGTACTTGAATAGCTACTACAAACCACTTATCAAATAATAAATTACAGCTGTGGCTTGAAAAATTTTAGGAAAGTAAGAGATCAGTAAAATCTAGAAATCCCCTTCAAAATTCAGTAATCTTAATGCATGTACCTCCACTTCAATTTCAAAAACTGACATACATCCTCCAAAATTAGTAACAAATACATAATTATAACCATATGTTCAAATGGGTCCTAATAAAATGGTACGAAGAGTAACACATCTCAGCTTTTTGTGTCCCATAAAACTTCAAAAATCCCAAAGTGTTACTCGTAATTCTTACAACCAAGATGTGGTTATCCATATGGTAAATTCTAAAGACACTAAGTAGTAAGCCTAAGTAGTCTTCTTTCCTTCCACCTTTCTTTCCTCAGATGGAGTAAAATTCTTCCTCATGTACATTTTCTAGTTTCCAACAATTCAAATAAACTTTTTATCAATATGTAAATCCATAGAAAGAAATAACATATAGGGAATTTCCTTTAGAGAAGTATGTTAAAAGCTTAACTTAAATCCATGGAATAAACTATGCCTCTCCTTTAAATGTGAACAGTGCTTAAAAAGAAAATAGATACTGAGGTTTGGCTTAAGTCAAATAACATCCAATCTCTAGTATAAGTAATAAGTTACAAAATAGTCCTTATAAACACCCTTTTAAAAGTTTACATATGCTACATATCACCTTGTTTTATATCCTAAGAGCTGTGTCGTTGCGTTCATTGAGAATTTAAGTAAGTGACTTATATTGCACCATATTAGCAATTTAATTTGATTCTAGTTTTAAATACTGATTATCAGCAAAAAAATATGGTTACGCTTTGTCTCTTACAATTAGAGATGGTGGTGGGGGGAGAGAGAGAAAAAGAAAGAAGAGAAAAAGAGAATATATCTTAAAATCTTTTTTTTTTCTATCTTTGAACACATTCCAAATTCTTATGATACTACAATTGATTAGGAAAGTATAGTTTTGCATGAAGCTCTTGGTTTATAGTAGTTTGGCCTGACCATATTCACTCTCAGGAAAGTATTCGGGTAAGAGCAACAATACTGCTATCTGTGAATCAAGATTTTTGTGATACTGTGAAGCCAAAACAACAAACCACAATAAAGTAATACACTGTACCCAATGCTGATATAAGGCTGCAACTGTTATCCTTAATGCCTATCAAACTAGTTCCTAAAACCACGTATCCTGTTCTACAAGATTTCCTTTATAAAAAGTAGGTGTTATAAATTATCATGACTTTTATGCAAATATGGCTTTTAATGTTTGCTCTAAAGTAATTTAAATAACTCTTTCACTTGTAGTTGCACATTTGTTTATTTAGTAATTTCATAATACAAAGGTAAATGTCTGCCCCATCAATTTCAAATGATAAATTACTGAATGAAATCAAGCTAAATTCAGAATATATCCAATAACACAAGACCTTATACATAGGAAGCCTATCCAAGCACAAATTAAAGCAAAGCATATTTCTTCATTATAGACATGTGACCTGTGTTAAAGAAATCAGTTTTATACTTGAAAAAAAACACCTTGATACATAATTATCACTATCGAAACTAGTAGTTATTCATCATCAAAGTGGATGATACATACAAGAAACATACAAATGACCATTAATAAAATAACTATTCAAATGTTTTGTACAGTAAATATTACACCTTACCATATCAGCGTTGACTTCTTTGCCTAATAAAATTAAGAAATCTTAAAAGACAAAAATATTGAAAGTAACTATAATTACAATAACTTGTAAATGGATTCATGATATAAAAAGTGTAAACTATGACATCAAAAACATAAAATGTAGAGGTGAAGAAGTAAAAGCATAGTGTTTTTGTATGCAATGAAAGTTATCAGCTTAAAATAGACTATTATAAATATAACACGTTTCATGTAAGCCTCATTGTAACCACAAAGCAAAAACCTACAATAGATACCAAAAAGATAAAGAAAAAACAAATCAAAGCAAACCACTAGAGAAAATTAACAAATCACCAAGGAAGATAGCAAGAGAGACAGAAAGAAACAAAGCATCTACAAAACAGCCAGAAAACAATTAACATGATAAACAATAAGTCTTTATCAATAATTATCTTGAATGTAAATAAATTAGATTATCCAATCAAAAGATACAGTGACTGAAATTTTTATTAAAACAAGACCCAACCATAAGCTGCCTACAAGAGACTTGCTCTAGCTTTGAGAACACACAGACTAAAAGCAAAGAAAAAATATATATATATTATATGCAAATGGCAACCAAAAGAACGTAGTGTGACTATTCTACTATCAGACAAAATAGACTTGAAATTAAAAAATTGTAAAAAGAGACAAAGAAGATAATTATATAATGATAAAGGGGTCAAGTCATCAAGAGACTACAACAACTGTAAATATACATGCACCCAACATTGGAGCATGTAAATATATAAAGCAACTATTAATAGATCTGAAGGGAGAGATGGACAGCAATACAATAATGGTGAGAGACTTCAATATCTCACTTTTAAGAATGGATAGGTCATCCAGACAGAAAATGAATAAGGAAACACTGGACTTGGACTACACTGTAGACCAAGTGGACCTAAGGGACACACATAGAACATTCCATCTAATAGTAACACAATACACATTCTTCCAAAGTACACATGGAATATTCTTAAGGACAGAGCATATGTTAGGCCACAACAAAAGTTTTATCAAATTGAAGGAAATTGAAAATCATATCAAATATATTTACCAACCACAATTGTATGAAACTAGAAATCAATAACTGGACAAACATTTTTAAATCCCCAAATACGTGGACATTAAATTACATGCTCCTGAACAACCAATGAGTCAAAGAAATCAAAAGGAAATCAGAAAGTATCTTAAGATAAACAAAAATGAAAACACACCATGTCAAAACTTATTCGATGCAGCAAAAGTAGTCTTAAGAAGTAAGTATATAGGGCTGGGCACAGTGGCTCACACCTGTTATCCCAGCACTGTGGGAGGCCAAGGTGGGCAGATCACTTGAGGCCAGGAGTTCAAGACCAGCCTGGCCAACGTGATGAAACCCCATCTCTACTAAAAGTACAAAAAGAATTAGCCAGGTGTGGTGGCACGTGCCTGTAATCCTAGCTACTTGGGAGGCTGAGGCAGGAGAATCACTTGAAACTGGGAGGCAGAGGTTGCAGTGAGCCGAGATCATGCCACTGCACTCCAGCCTAAGCAACAGAGTGAAACTCTGTCAAAAAAAAAAAAAAGTATATAGTAATAAACATCTACATGAAGAAAATAGAAAGATCTGAAATAAACAACCTAACTTTACACCTTAAGGTACTAGAAGAGGAAAGACAAACTAAGCCTAAAGTTAGCAGAAGGAAGGAAATGATAAAGATTAGAGCAGAAGTAAATGAAATGGAGGCTAGAAAGACAATGGAAAAGATCATCAAAACTAAGAACGATTTTTTTGACAAAATAAGCAAAATTGGCAAACCTTTAGCTAGACTCAGAAAAAAGAAAAACTCAGATAAAATCAGAAATTAAAGATGAGAAATTACAGCTGATGCCACAGAAACACAAAGGATTCTAAGAGAATACTATGAACAATTGTATGCCAATAAGTTGGATAACCCAGAGGTAATGGGTAAATTCCCAGAGAATAACTGTAATGTATTAAAGTTTTAGGTTTTATATATATATGATAATATTTGCTTAATATAATGAAAATTTTAAATTAAAACTATCTATAATTCTACTACTCAGACAAAATCACTATTGTTCAACAAATATTTATTGAGTGCCTACTACATGCCCTGCTCTGTTGAGGTTTCTGGGGATTCAGCAATAACTAAAAAAAATTATCATCATGAAGTTTAGTTTCTAGTGAGTAGAGACAAACCATTAAACGTACTGTAGGTGTGTGCTAAAAATAAAATAACGTAGATTATATAGTATAGAATGATGCATTTTTTTACAGAATGATAGATTTTATAGCATTTATAGATTTTTCTGATAAGATGATATTCAAGCAGAAACTTCAAGTAAGTGAGTCAACAAATACTGCAGGTATCCTGAGGAAGAGCATTCCAGAAGGAATAGCAACTGGAAAAGAAAAGAGCATGCTTGACACCTTGAAGGAACAGCCAAGGAGCCAGTGTGGCTAGAGAAATGAAACATGGGATCGGAGGTAGAGGATTAAAATCAGAGAGAAAATAAAAGTTGGGGAGTGGGACCCATATATATGTAAGACTTTGTAGGCCATGGCAAGGACTATGGATTTCACTGTGACAAAGTCACTGGAAGGTCTACACAGAGAAATGACTTAAAATGATTTCTGTAGTTCAAGGATTGGTCTGGCTGCTGTGTGAAGAATGGAATAGAAGGAAGCAAAAGTGGAATTAAGGGGTCAATTAGGAAGCTATTTTAATAACCTAGGTGAGAGATGAGGGCAACTCTTAAGACTTTTATGTAATTCCCTCCAGTCTTTTTGCCTGTGCATTTGAGCATGTGTATAATTAACATAATTGGGATTTTAAAATATGTACAGCTTAGTACCCTGCTATCTTCACATGAAATTGAAATTTCTCATGTAATTTAAAATTCTCATAAGAGGTAGCAATTATGTATCAGGCAAATACTTTTCTTGGTTTTTTTTATGCTTGTAAATTTATTTAAGTGTTGCATGATACATAGAAACTTTAAACCAAAAAGTTAGACATATTATAACAACTGAAATGTTCAAAAATAAGGGAATATTTAAATAAATAGTTGTATATCTATATGTTGGAATACTATGCAGCTAGTTAAAATAACACAAAATTATTTTTAAAACATGGGGTAATGCTTATACAATGGAATACACACTGTACACACAGTCTTGTTCTTTTTGAGTGTAAATTCTAGAGAGTGTAAATTCTAGAGTGTAAACTGAGTGTAAATTCTAGAGAGAAATTCTCAAGCTTTCTTTTGTCCTAACAGGTAAATCTGAAAACTTCCTACTTTCTGGAAGAAAGAACATAACTGTTCCCAGTTATGTAAAATATGTCAAAAAGACTAGACGAAAATATCTAAAAATACTATTTCCAGGGGGTGAGATTATAGCTATTTTCATTTTCTCCTTTTATATTCTGTATTCTTCAAATGTTCTACAGTGAACTGGAATTAATGTTATAATTTAAAAATAATTTTGTATTTGTAAAAGTTAAGGAACTTGCAGAATTGAGATATAGGTTCAAATGCCTGACATGTTGCTAACCAGCTCTTTCTTAGCCTAATTTCTCTATTAAATATCAATTTCCTCCCTTCTAAAAGAAGGATAATTGTCCTCACATAATGACTTAAGATTAGAAGTAGGAGGCTACTCAGCATAGTTCCTGACATATTAAATGCTTGGTAAATCTGTTTAAACGAATGTGAAAATGTGACAGTCTAAATTCATATTTTAGGTAAAATGCAAAGTCTACCATGAATACCCAATTCAAAAGGATATGAAAACTGTGCCATTCACTCTTTCACCCTGTTCACTCTTGTCTGCAATCCAATTCAAATTAGAGGAAAATGTACCATTCTAAAATTAATGTAAAAGGCAAACCAAATTGCTACCTTCCGGCCTTGGGGTATCTTCTTGCCTAAAGACTTCCCTAACATGGAAAGAAAATTTCAAATTGCACTGTAAAAATTATCTTCCTAAAACTGAGTGTAAACTCTAGAGAGAAATTCCCAAGCTTTCTTTTGCCCAAATAGGAAAATATGAAAGCTTCGTACTGCTAATGAGAGCTTGGAAATTCATATGCAGTACTGCCTCAAACAGGTAACTAAAAACTGACTATAGATTGGGGAGGAAGCATTTTTTAACATACTAAATAAAATTTCAATACTGGTAATGAATTCAAGGTAATCTATAGACTGCAGACCTTGAAGACAAAAGGATAAAATTTCCTTTCACTATAAGAATCTAAAACTACCTTATCTGCTACAGACTTTTCCCGTGACTATGAGATTCAGACTTCAATGTGTGTGGCAGGTAGGGAAATTATGAATATCAAACTTGTCCCAACTACATACTTCTTGTTACATCCTTTATTCAGTCAGCTGTTGAATATGAGGTAAACTTCCTCATTTTCATATCTTTACAATAAAATAATAAAGCTCAAAATATTTCTCTAAGTAGCTTCATACAAATGGAAACATAGGACATTATATGTTTGCAACTAAAGCGTCAGCTTCTTAGGAAATACAACTGTAGCTGTCTCTATGTTCAAAAGACTAAAAAATCCAAATATTTTAGAAAAAATAAATTATGAAATAATTGTATTACACATGTCTTACCTTTATCAAAGACTTTAACAAGTTTTCTTTTAGGTAAAAACTTGAGTAATACATTTATTTGTAAATCTTACTTATTGAATATAGAATTTTAGAATCAAAGGGCCTATTTAACCCCATGTTTCTCTGTTGGATAGAAAAGTGAAGAGATACATAAATATACATTCTCTTAGTGGTAATAAATGAAAATAACTATATAGAACTTTGACATATATAATCTTGTTTCATTCCGAATATTCTTGTCAGATGATAACTGGTATTTTTGCCTTCATTTCTTAAGTGAGAAACTAAAGTTCAAAGGAGATCAATGACTTTCTTGAGGTCACTAAGTGCCAAGGGCAGAGTTTGAACATAGTTCTTTCACTCTAGAGCCAGTATTTTTTGTAATACATAAAATTATCTCTTTTGTGCCATATTTTCTCTCAAGATAGGCTGTGTAAACATAAGGATTAAAGACTGATGTTCATTAACATCAATAACTGCATAAAAATTTGGAAAACAATTGCTTTTCAAATATCTTACCACAAAAGTGACTTTAAAAAACAGATTTTTGTCCTCAAAACGATAATGATGATGACTCCCTAGAAAATTGTTTTTGCATTTCACATTAAGGAATCCAGTAACGTACCCTTTTCCCATTCTGTGTTAACAGCTTAAATATATTTAGAGATAAACAAGAAACATATAATTTGCCTGTATGACAAAGTATAATTGGCACCATAATTCTGTAAGAACCTGTGTATAATGCTGGCATGGTGGGAAAACTACTAAACCAAGAGTAAAGGGATTTTACAAGGGCCTAACCTTGGGTTGGTCACTTACGCACTTTGTGTTTCATCTGCAAAACAGAGTATTGACCTACAGTATTGCTGCGAGGATTATATAAAAATGTATATGATGGCAATTTCTAAGGCATCAAGCACTACATAAATATAAGGCAATGTAATTATTGATTTGCTCATTCTATTTCTTGATGTAGATACTACTACTCATCATATGTAACTAAACTTATTTCAAGCTATACAAATGTTATTAAAAGTTGTACATAAATCAAAGAAAGTAAATTTTGAATAATCTTTTAAACACTCTCATTTAAAACTTGCAAATTCAAATTTTTCCACACAAAAATGACTATAAAATGCTAAGTTTACTTTCTACAAGTTATACACATAATCAGCAGTAACATAGATGCAGTTGGAGGCCATCATCCTAAATGAATTAGGGCAGGAATAGAAAACCACATACCACATGTTCTCACTTATAAGTGGGAGCTAAACATTGAGCACACATGGACATAAATTTGGGAACAGTAGACACTGTGGACTACTAGATCAGGGGAAGTAGTGGGGGAACATGGGTTGGAAAACTACTTATTGGGTACTATATTGCCTACCTGGGTGATGTTATCCATACCCCAAACCTCAGCATCATATAATAGTGCCATGTAACAAACATGCACATATACCCCCTGTATCTAAAATAAAAGTCAAAATTTAAATAAAGTACATCTTTACAGGCAATGTATCATCCCATTTTTCCAAAATGGAATGCTCTAACAGTTTGAATTCACTTAATGTTTACATATGAATGGCATTCAAATATTTACTGAATCTAATGGTGATAACAATGTTCATTATTGATTCTACAAAAACTAAATATAATAATTAAGGTATACTTAAACTACAATGAAAAAAATTTAATCCTCAAGACCTTGCCTTGTTCTAAGAATCATCATTATGAATATAAATTACTGTGCAGTATTTTAAAAATAATTGTTATCTAAGCTTAGTGGTTAGAAATTTACAGATTAGGTTTAATATAAGTTAAATACATGGCAATCATTATTTTTCATATTATTTATATTATTTTGGTTTTTCAACCAGTAATTTGCTACTATAATTAAAATTAACCTAATAACATATTCAGCATTTAAAGTTTTCATACCTCTCAAGAAAAATTATTCAGAAAAATGTGTAGTTATATAAGGTATATAGCTATCTTGCCCATCTTTTACTCTCTGATTTTCCATTTATAAATAATTTCTCGATGGCTTTCAATTCAAATTTTTCCTATAGGGAAGACACTTAAAAAACTATTTTAAGATATCCTCTAATATCTATCCTGTTAATCCAAATTATTTCCCTCATTCTACATCTCCCACTGGCTAGTCAGTTTTTTTTTCCTCTGTAGTTTATCTCATCATCTCTTTAAGAGATTATTAATAAAGACTTACTTTATTTAATGCACTTTAACAGTGAAAGGGGAGGAAAATATATGCCACCGAGCTGTACAGTGAAACCGATAACCTTCCTTATTTCTACTCTTTCCTATTGGCTAAATTCAAGCAAAAAAAAATGAATCATGAAAAAAAAGAGCACCTATTTGAAAAGCGAAGTATACAGTTTTTACATATAGTTCTAAATATGGCTTGACTAAAAAGGAATAATTTCTGAGACCTAATATAGATGGTATTTATATCCTATACATGTTTACTTTAACAGCATATTAGCACTCATGTAATACTTTTAATACTGATACCACATACCAGTTGACATACTGAATCCAAAGCTTTAAGGAAAAAATAAGAAAGGAAAAGCTCTCTGAGAAATTTCTAATTATGCAGCTTAGAAAATATTCCAAAATGATGCATTTAAAACGTCTTTTAAATTAAAAAAGCAGAAATTACCAAGAAGTTCATGGAGGTTTTCTGAATTCATTTGTAATTATGCCAAACTTCTTAATTCTCATATTAATCCTCCAAAAATACAAAAATAAACATTTCTAAGTTTAAGAAACTATAACATTGGAAACAAAAAAACAAAGAAGAGACTATGCCTAGCAATAATGCTCAGGAGGAAAAAAAACAGATAGGATAATTAAGAACAAGATTTAGAATCTCATCAGATAGCTACATACCTTGTGGAGAATACTAAATAAAGATACATAAAATTTTAATAGATGAAGATGAATATAATCTCCTAGTCTTCACAGAAACATAAAGATGAAAATTTTGCCCTATGAGATATTAAAATTTATTACATAGCAATAATTATAAAAAGTATGGTTCTAATATAATAGACTCATCAATGTTAATAATAAAAATAAATAACAGTAATAACTCTCATTTACTGAGCATATACCCTAGGCTAATCATTGTGCTAAATGTTGATATATGTGTTTTATTCATATTTACATTTTAATGACTCATACATAGTACTTATAATAAATTATGAGTTTATTATATCCATTTGACAGATGAGGAAAGAAAAATGCAAACATACAGTAACTTAGTCAAGGGAATATAGCTAACAGCAGATATACCTGAGTGTACATAATAATTTAGCATAAGATAAAGGTAGCATTTCAAGTAAATGGGAATTATTTATTAAGTTTGAGGGACAACTGGCTAACATTTTTGGGGAAAAAAGGTAAATACCCATGTTCCTTCTTATACCAAATGAATTTCCATATGAATTTTAAAGATTTTTATCAAAATGCAGCCGGGCATGGTGACTCACACATGTAATCCCAGCACTTTGGGAGGCAGAGATGGGCAGATCACTTGAGGCCAGGAGTTTGAGACCAGCCTGGCCAACATGATGAAACCCCGTCTTTACTAAAACTACAAAAATTAGCCAGGTGTGGTGGCATTTGCCTGTAGTCCCAGCTACTCGGGAGGCTGAGGCAGGAGAATAGCTTGAACCCAGAGGCAGAGGTTGCAGTGAGCCAAGGTCACGCCACTGCATTCCAGCCTGGGCAAGTGAGTGAGACTCTGTCTCAGAAAAAAGAAAAGAAAGAAGAACAAGAAAACATAAATATCTACTTACGTAATTTTAAATTGTGATTATTCTCTTTAGGAAGGACACCAAGAGCAAAAATCGTTTAAAAAAAAAACTCTCTAATATATTTGATGACACAAAAACCCCAAAACATCTACATGGCAAAATATACCACCATCAAGTTCAATGCACATAATAAATTAGTAATTTTTTTTTCAGAATATAGTGTAGAGTCCTAATAAGAGAAAAGGGGTCAGGCTGACAGGAGCAGGGGAAAGCAAAAAGAGAAAGCAGATAAGCTGTTAAGTCTGCCTTTCCTCTGGTCCAGGACACAGACCTCCCGTGCAAATAACTCACAATCGTCCTGCAGCTGACTTATCACCAGACCATTGGCTGATAGAAAAATGCAAGTTAGCTCACTGCAACCTTGGTGTTATCAGTAGCGTACGTAGCCTTCTCCAGCACAAAGCACAAGTATCATCCCATAAAATCCCCAGCAAGCCTTTGTCTCCTTGCAGTCAGCTCCTGTCTTGCCCATTTGCCCACTGCCCTTGCAACGCATTTTCATACTTTCTCTAATAAACCTGCCTTTCTTTATCTGGAACTGTCTTGGTAAATTCTTTTTACTGCCCACATGACATTGGCCCCAGAGAGTCGACACCCACAACATATGGGACAAAGTTTTACTCCCCAGTATAGTAGTTCTAACAAATAATAAAATACTGACACTCTAAACAGAAAAAAAAGAAACTGGTAAAGACAGAGCACAGCATTCACAAGAAAAATAGAATTACTAATTAACATACTAAAATATTTTCATATTCATGAGTAATCAAAGAAATGCATATTAAAATAATACTGAGATATTTTATTTGGATATTTTATTTGCTTGCTGAGCAAAGATAGCTTGTGTTGGCAAAGGTGCAAGAAAATCTCCACTGACCGTTAAGAACTATCATTTTGGGGGGGAATACATGTGATAATATGCAAAACATCTTCTTGAAAAAGTCACATTCCTTTTTTTTTAACCTTTAGGCTCTGTTGGACTTGAAAAAAAGTCGCATTCTTTGTTCTAAAAATTTCACATTTGTGAATTTATCCCGAAGAAACAAACAAATGGGCATATATTTTTGAAAAATGCATTTCATTATAAACAATTGTTTATAATTAAAAATATTGGAAACAAACTAAATTGCAACAATTCAATACTGTTTTAAGTTGTTAGCAAATTCATATAATGAAATAATATGCTGCAAGCAAGATAGTGATTCTAGTCTATATTAATGACATGAAAATATATGACTATATTTACTGTTCATGTTTATTGACAAACCAGAAAAGCAATATGCAGACGAGGATGTTTAATACTATTATAATTTCCATGAATACTATATATGTGCACAGAAACAAAATTTTTTTAAAGGATAGAAATTGTATCTAGGTAGGGATTTAGATTTGTTTTCCTTTAAAATTTTCTACCATTTCTAAAATAAATAGCAACATTTTTGCAATTCATGAATTAATCTAAAAACTAAATAGTAGGTAAAAAGTAAAGAAATATAGATAATACTTTTATAATAACAGAATATAAAAGAAAGGAAAGAGGGTAATAGTCAAAGGGGTAATCTATGAGGAAAAAAACAAAAGGCAGACAGTAGTCGCATAGACAACAGAGATGAAAAAGGGCAACAGCCAAATGAAGGAAAAAACACACATTTATGTATGCACATTCATACACTGTTTGGGCCATAGGAAAAAAAATCAAATTTATTACAGAAACAAGTTTGAATCCATTGACAAAGATCCTCAAGGAGACCATGCAGCAAGAAAGAGTGGAGGCTGAACAACCATTTATTACCCCATTTCTGACAAGATGGTTACCAATTATCTCAATGAAAATAATAACAGAGTAGCTTAGGAAACATTAGAGTTAATATTTTCCAAGGAATCTATATGAAGGAGAGGAGATCACATAAAGGTAATACAAAACAGAATTACTAAGCTAGCTGATTCATATGAAAATACTTTGCAAACTGCTAAGAGTCACAGCAGTGACATTATCACTAAGCTATAAAAACTGTGTTACTGAGGTCAGCCCAGAACAATAACTAGCTTATAAAACATAAAGAAGAGGGTGCTCAATTTGTTTAGGGAAATCAAGAAAGAATTCTCAATAAGTAATATTAATTCTGAGTCTTGTAAGATAAATAGAAGTTTGCTGGGTAGCTCTAGAACTGACATGGTGTAGAGGAGGGATTAGGTAGGTGGAAATTGGATATGTATATTCTAAAGCAAGGAATGTATACAGAAGCAGGAAAGAACAAGGCTTATTTTAGATAAGTTCAAGCAACTTAACATGTCAAAGTTCATGTAGAAGATAAAAAAGTATTTGGAAATAAGGCTGAAAATGTATATGGAGGTCAGACTATAAAGTGCTTGATATATCATACTAAGAAGGTTGACTATAACAAGGAACACAAGAGAGTGATTTGATTAGATTTGCATTTGAGAAAGGTTCTTTCGTTGCAATATGGGATATAGACAAGACCTGGGTAGTACTAGAAGGGACTAGTTCGAGGACTTTTAAAATGACTGAGGCCAGAAGTGATTAGAGCTTGAATGAGGGCAGTGGCAGTATAGGTTGAGAAGAGGAAAGAGACTCAAAAACTTTCAAGTAGAACTGACAAGATAATCAGGGAGATGTTAAAATGGTTCCCATGTTCCCAACTTGAGAGCTTGGGTGGACTCTATAATGGTGATTATGTGTATATAAGTGCATGTGAACTAAAAGCATATATACACATGCCAAAAGAAGATATGAGTAGAGAGGCATGTGGGCACACTGGGAAATGAAAAAGGCAATATGCAAAATGCAGTACAAATAATGTGTGGATGAGAGAAAAGATGAAAGTAGGTGGGAAATTATGTTTGTGGGGATGCTTTAAAAAAAAATAGAAGCCTTTATTTTCATTTCAAATCACCAATAAGCTGTACTTAAAATTCAGGCAATGCCTAGCTCTCTACATGAGTTTATACAAAGGGCTTAGAACGGTGTCTAGTAAATAGTAAGTTTTCAATGGATGTTAGCTATTATATTACTACCCTGAATCATCCAAAAGCTGCTTTAGTTCCTATTCTCTCACTTTTTTTTTTTTTCATTTTTTGGAGACAGGGTCTTGTTCTGTAGCCTAGGCTGGCATGATCACAGTTCTCTGCAGCCTCAACCTCCCAGGGCTCAAGCCAAGAGATCTTCCACCTCAGCCTTCTGAGTACATGTGTGCTACCATGGGAGGCTAATTTTTATATTTTTTGTAGAGATGGGGTTTTCACAATGTTGCCCTGGCTGGTCTCAAACTCCTGGGCTCAAGCGATCCACCGTCTCAGCCTCCCAAAGTGCTGGGACTACAAGTGTGAACCACTGAGGCCAGCCCTACTCTCACTTTTCTATTTCATTCAATTATAAGTTCTAGAGAGGATTTAGTAAAATGTCTGGGGTACATATAACTTCTAAATTATTCAACACTGTTACCCATTCAGAGCATTTTGCTGAAATAAAGATTATTTGTTTATTCAAAACAAAGAGAAGTTGGAAGATAAGCTTTCATTAATTTAATTAATTTGCCCCAAGAAATATATAAAACTTAACCAACCTAAGTAGATATTACACTGATAGTTTTTCAGATCTACCTTAGAAAGATATTTTATGCCATTGAAAGCTGATGCAAACTATTTCCAAAATAGATTTGTAAGAGAAGGATCTAAGAAGAAAGGATAGAGAAATTCAGTAAATTACCAGATTTGCTTAAGATGGGTCTCCAAAATGTTCTTATTATTGTCTTTGAAGAACTGTAAAAAATCAGACCAAAAATATTCATATTCTAAAGCAAACTTCACAGAATACATAATATTTTAACTATGTAGTTAAAAAGGGGCTTTCATTAGCTTAATAGAAAGTTAACTGTAATTTACAGTATCAAATTATTGTCAATATCTAATAATTAAGATGGTACCTAATTCTAAAACACTGTCATGATGAATAGCTTACCAAAAATTATATATAACAAGGTTTGTTATACTTAGGTGCACAGAGACAGACTCTGTGTTTTAAAAATGATTTGCTTTTTAATTGTAAAATTCCCTTAAGAAATAGATAAAAAGAAATAAGAAATACGAAGTAATATTTGTTGAGTATCTGCTATATCCCAAGCTTTGCACTAGTTGCTTTACATTTTCTCTCAGTCTTTACAAACTCTTCAAAGTAAACATTATCCCCATTCAACATAGAGGAAGTACATTCATTGAAAAGTTAACAGTCTACAGTAACACAGCTAGTAATGAATAGAGCTGGAATTCAGTTCTGAAGCTATCCTGCCTCAAAGTCCACAGTCTTACATCATATTGCATTACTGATTTTGAAATTCAGGACATATATGCCTTATATTTGAATAAAAGTTAAAATTAAAAAATATATATTAAATATATTTCACTGACATATCATGTGCTTCTTTTGAACTACCATCTTCACTTATAGTTTCTCTTTCTTTATCCTTTGGGGAAAGAAAAATGTAATATGAGGACCCATCTTACATGCATATGAAAGTAGATAATATTCTCCAAACAGCAAAAATATATCCCTATATTGCCTAAAATTCAATTAATTAGAGACTGAATCTTAAGATCCAAATATTCCAGTCATTCATATTATGTTTTCTCCCTTTATGATAGAATGCATCTTTATATCATTTGCATTGATATAAACCACTTCTATCTGATTCCTTTTCCTTTAACGTTTAGCCAAGATCAACCAAATTCAGAAAAAGGGAGGTATATTTGGTAGTTGGGAAAGAACAAATAAGAGATAATCTGGAAACATTTAGGCCCATATGGAACGCGGGAAAAAGTACAGAGACAGGAATAAGTACAAGGAACCTAGAAAGCCATGACACAAAGAAAGATAACAAAATGTACATTTTCCCCTAGGCAAATATAAGAATATTTGTTGTTATGAAAATCAAGATAAAATTAAATTTAAAGCATCTTTTTGTCCATGTATAGCATAAACTCAACATTCTTGTTAAGTTCCATCTTTGTCATCCTCCAAAGTCACTAACACATTTTACTGGCAAGTATCAGAACTAGAAAACTGAAAAAATATATATGCTTTAAAATTTTACTATGATTGAATTTAAGTTTAGAAATAATATATTTGTATATCTCAAGAAAGTCAAATTCTTCTTCAAGTTCTTCTAAAGAAACTTCTATTAATATACTGAAAGAACACAATGAATGTGAGATGACTAAAACATACATAAATGAAATTTTAGCAGTATGTTTTTTTTTTTTTTTTTGAGACAGGGTCTCACTTTGTTGCCCAGGCTGGTGTGCAGTGGCACGATCTTGGCTCACTGCAACCTCCGTCTCCTGAGTTCCTGATTCTTATGCCTCAGCCCCTGGAGTAGCTGGGACTATAGGCATGTACCACCGTGACTGGGTAATAGCACTATGATTTTCTAAACTGATCTCCCACCTCTCTTCTTATTCATTCTGATTCATCTTAAGCATGCTTTTAAACTAATATTCCTTATATATAGTTCTGATTGTGTTACCTTCCTATTCAAAAACATTTAGTTGCTCTTTCCAATGTTGAAAACCTTTAGCCTGATATTCAAGTCCCCTCAATATTTGGTCCCAAATAAAACATTAATCCTATTTCCCATGATGCTTCTCCTTTGGAGAGCAAGGGCAGTAAGACCAGTATTGGTACATTAACACCTGCAGAGTTAGAACTGGAGAAAAAGAGAGCTAAATAAAGTATTTTATTCAAAAATACAAATATTAATAGATTGCCTTCTGGGTTAGGCTCCAGTAGTACTAGAAGAGACTAGTTTGATTATCGCTAGGCAATAAAGATAAAGAGAAGTGAAGCAATATAAGAAAAGTCACAATACTTACTGACTTTAATATAAGCACTGAATGAATGGTCAACACAAGTGCTAGGGTATAGGAGTTCAGTGTTAAAAATAAAAATAGGAGATTTTGGCCAGCTGGAGTATCCAGGCATTAGGATTACATACTAGTGCAGAACCTTATAAAATGCAAGTAGAGGAGAAAACGGTGGAAGTTTCGTGGTGATCTTCCTTTTCACTCCCTTTCTTCTTCTCTAATCAGACTGTTTTCTTCCACTTTCTCTTTCCTTTGCTCTTTCATTTTAATATTTTCTTTTATGTTAATGGTTGTGATCTAATTTTATTTCTTCATTAATTGTAACCAATTGCATGTCCTTTTTGCAAATAGTGTTCAAGTCACTTTTTTGTTTTTTTTCTTTCATTAGTGTTGTTCTTTCAATTGTCTAGAATTCAGTACTGAGAAGTTTTAAATATTTAATATTAATGTTTAATACTCAATATTTTATATTTGATTCTAAATTTTCTAAATTGTAATTGGTACTTTTTGGTTAAGGTTTTTAAGTATGGCCTTTACATTTTAAATATATAAATCACAAAAACAAATCTTTCCTGATATTTGAAATAAGATATTATGAGAGGCATTTTAAGAAAAGACATCAAAAACTTTCACATTAAGAAAATGAGACTATTTCAAGCATAAGAAATATTGTTTATATAACATAATGATATGTATTAATTTTTCTATATATTAACATTTAATACTATATAATAATGTAGTAACAAATAACAATACTATATAATAATATTTAAGAGGAAAACTAAAAGTAGAAAGAAACTTATGTAAATAAAATTTAATTGTCTGATATGGTCATGAGAAGACAGAGACCAGATGAGGTGATCCGAGAAGAAAAAAGTCTAAAATTGATTAGGTAGTTTCAAGCATTATTGAAACTCAGTGAGTTCAGTGAGCTTTAGTTCTTGTTTCTAACTCAATAATAAACAAGATTTTATTTGAGGATGCCCAAAAGATGTGGATGCAAATTCTACCTGTGGAAGAAATAGGTAAGATAGAAAAACAACTTCAGATATCCATTCTAAGAGAAAGGGGCATTTGATCAGGGAGATTAAACTGAATATTACTTCATAAATGTGTTATAATATAAAGAAAATTATTTTAATCTACCCTTAAGCTGCAAAGTTCATTTATCTTTCAAAGATTCTGTATATAAGTATCTGATAGTAGAAGTATTCATTCTGCTCTTCTAAGACATGAATATCACACTAATTTTTATTTTTAAAAGCAGCATCTAAAGAGATTCTTGGTCTATTACCTAATGTACAAGGATATATATTTGGTAAACACATTTTCTGAGATAATTGTTTTTATTGAAGCCAGACCCTTCCACCAGTGCCCATCCGTATAATGTGGCCTTTCCTAATGGTACTATAATGTATGCAGATAGATGCAAATTGAGTCACCCGTAATGCCTATGATGTCTGGAAATTTATATATACAGTCATCTCTTGATATGCCCAGGGGATTAGTTCCAGGACCAATCCACATAGTGGATGCCAAAACCCACAGATGCTAAAGTCCCTTATAATAAAATGGCAGAGTATTTTCATATAACATATGTACATACTCCTATATTGTTATTTTTTTATTGCCTTTTTTTCCCCAAATGTTTTGATTTGCAGTCAGTTGAACTTACGAATGCAGAACCCATGGTTAGAGAGGGCCAGCTGTACAGATAAAAGCAAGCACAAAGGTGGCTGGCACGATGGCCGAACAGGAACAGCTCTGGTCTGCAGCTCCCAGTGAGATCAACACAGAAGGCAGGTGATTTCTGCATTTACAACTGAGGTACCCGGCTCATTTCACTGGGACTGGTTAGAAAGCAGGTGCAGCCCATGGAGGGCAAGCTGAAGCAGAGTAGGGCATCGCCTCACCCGGCAAGTGCAAGGGGTCAGGGGACTCCCTCTCCTAGCCAAGGGAAGCCTTGAGGGACTGTGCCATGAGGAATGGTGCACTCTGGCCCAGATACTATGCTTTTCCCATGGTCTTCACAAACTGCAGACCAGAAGATTCCTTCAGGTGCCTACGCCACCAGGGCCCTGGGTTTCAAGCACAAAACTGGGCGGCTGTTTGGGCAGACACTGAGCTAGCTGCAGGAGTTTTCTTTCATACCCCAGTGGTGTCTGGAACACCAATGAGACAGAACTGTTCACTCCTCCGGAAAGGGGGCTGAAGCCAGTGAGCTAACTGATCTAGCTCAGTAGAGCCCAGCAAGCTAAGATCCACTGGCTTGAAATTCTCACTGCCAGCACAGCAGTCTGAAGTCGACCTGGGACACCTGAACTCAGTAGGGGGAGGGGCGACGGCCATTACTGAGGCTTGAGTAGGCGATTTTCCCCTCACAGTGTAAACAAAGCCACCAGGAAGTTGGAACTGGGCAGAGCCTACCGCAGCTAGGCAAAGCTGCTGTAGCCAGATTGCCTCTCTAGATTCCTCCTCTCTGGGCAGGGCATCTCTGAAAGAAAGGCAGCAGCCTCTGTCAGGGGCTTAGAGACAAAACTCCCATCTCCCTGGGACAGAGCACCTGGGGGAAGGGGTGACTCTGGGTGCAGCTTCAGCAGACTTAAACATTCCTGCCTACCAGCTCTGAAGAGAGCAGCAGATCTCCCAGCACAGCACTCAAGCTCTGCTAATGGGCAGACTGCCTCCTCAAGTGGGTCTCTGACCCCTGTGCCTCCTGACTAGGAGACACCTCCCAGCAGGGGTTGATAGACACCTCATACAGGAGAGCTCTGGCTGTCAACTGGCAGGTGCCCATCTGGGACGAAGCTTCCAGAGGAAGGAACAGGCAGCAATTTTTGCTGCTCTGCAGCCTCTGCTGGTGATACCCATGCAAACAGGGTCTGGAATGGACCACCAGCAAATACCAGCAGACCTGCATCAGAGGGGCCTGTTAGAAGGAAAACTAACAAACATAAAGGAATAGCATCAACATCAACAAAAAGGATGTCTACACAGAAACCGCACCCGAAAGTCACCAACATCAAAGACCAAAGGTAGATAAATCCACGAAGATGAGAAAAACCCAGTGCAAAAAGGCTGAAAATTCCAAAAACCAAAACGCCTCTTCTCCTCCAAAGGATCACAACTCCTCGCCAGCAAGGGAACAAAACTGGACAGATAATGAGTTTGACGAATTGATGGAAGTAAGTTTCAGAAGGTGGGTAATAACGAACTCCTCTGAGCTAAAGGAGCATGTTCTAATGCAATGCACGGACGCTAAGAACCATGAAAAAAGGTTATAGGAATTGCTAACTACAATAACCAGTTTAGAGAAGAACATAAATGACCTGACGAGCTGAAAAACACAGCATGAGAACTTCGTGAAGCATACACAAGTATCAATAGCTGAATCGATCAAGCAGAAGAAAGGATATCAGAGATTGAAAATCAACTTAATGAAATAAAGTGTGAAGACAAGATTAGAGAAAAAAGAGTGAAAAGGAATGAACAAAACCTCCAAGAAATACGGGACTATGTGAAAAGACCAAATCTACATTTGATCAGTGTACCTGAAAGTGATGGGCAGAACAGAACCAAGTTGGAAAACACTCTTCAGGATATTATTCAGTAGAACTTTCCCAACCTAGCAAGACAGGCCAACATTCAAATCCAGGAAATACAGAGAATACCACAAAGATACACCTTGAGAACAGCAACCCCAAGACACATAATCATTAGATTCACCAAGGTTGAAATAATGGAAAAAATGTTAAGGGCAGCCACAGAGAGAGGTCGGGTTACCCACAAAGGGAAGCCCATCAGACTAACAGCAGATCTCTCTGCAGAAACCCTAACAAGCCAGAAGAGAGCGCGGGCCAATATTCAACATTCTTAAAGAAAAGAATTTTCGGCCGGGTTTGGTGGCTCACATCTGTAATCCCAGCACTCTGGGAGGCCGAGGTGGGCAGATCATGAGGTCAGGAGATTGAGACCATCCTGACTAACACGGTGAAACCCCGTCTCTACTAAAAATACAAAAAATTAGCCAGGCATGGTGGCATGGGGCTGTAGTCCCAGCTACTTGGGAGGCTGAGGCAGGGGAATCGCTTGAACCCGGGAGGCAGAGGTTGCAGTGAGCCGAGATCACACCACTGCACTCCAGCATGGGCAACAGAATGAGACTGTCTCAAAAAAAAAAAAAAAAAAAAGGAAAAAAAAAGAACTTTCAACCTAGAATTTCATATCTAGCCAAACTAAGCTTCATAAGTGAAGGAGAAATAAAATCCCTCACAGACAAGCAAATGCTGAGAGATTTTGTCACCACCAGGCCTGCCTTACAAGAGCTCCTGAAGGAAGCACTAAATATAGAAAGGAAAAACCGATACCAGCCACTGCAAAAACATACCAACTTGAAAGACCATCGACACTATGAAGAAATTGCATCAACTAACGGGGAAAATAACCAGCTAGCATGATAATGACAGGATCAAATTCACACATAATATTAACTTTAAATGTAAATGGGCTAAATGCCCCAATTAAAAGACACAGATTGGCAAATTGGATAGAGTCAAGACCCATCAGTGTGCTGTATTCAGGAGACACATCTCATGTGCAGAGACACATATAGGCTCAAAATAAAGGGATGGAGGAATATTTACCAAGCAAATAGAAAGCAAAAAAGGCAGGGGTTGCCATCCTAGTCTCTGATAAAACAGACTTTCAACTAACAAAGATTTTTAAAAAAAGACAAAGAAGGGCATTATATAATGGTAAAGGGATCAATGCAACAAGAAGAACTATCCTAAATATATATGCACCCAATACAGGAGCACCTAGATTCATAAAGCAAGTTCTTAGAGACTTACAAAGAGACTTAGACTCCCACACAATAATAGTGGGAGACTTTAACACCCCACTGTCAATATTAGATAGATCAACAAGACAGAAAATTAACAAGGATATTCAGGACTTGAACTCAGCTCTGGACCAAACAGACCTAATAGACATCTACAGAACTCTCTACCCAAAATCAACAGAATATACATTCTTCTCAGCACCACATTGCACTTATTCTAAAATTGACCGCATAATTAGAAAACACTCCTCAGGAAATGCAAAAGAACAGAAATAATAACAAACTGTCTCTCAGACCACAGTGCAATCAAATTAGAACTCAGAATTAAGAAACTCACTTGAAACCACACAACTACATGGAAGCTGAACAACCTGCTCCTGAATGACTACTGGGTAAATAACAAAATTAAGGCAGAAATAAATAAGTTCTTTGAACAATGAGAACAAAGACACAAAGTACCAGAATCTCTGGGACACAACTAAAGCAGTGTTTAGAGGGAAATTTATAGCACTAAATGCCCACAGGAGAAAGCAGCAAAGATGCAAAATTGACACCCTAACATCACAATTAAAAGAACTAGAGAAGCAAGAGCAAACAAATTCAAAAGCTAGCAGAAGACCAGAAATAACTAAGATCACAGCAGAACTGAAGGAGATAGAGACACGAAAAACCCTTTAAAAACTCAATCAATCCAAGACCTGGTTTTTTGAGAAGATTAACAAAATAGACCACTAGCCAGACTAATAAAGAAGAAAAGAGAGAAGAATCAAATAGACACAATACAAAATGATAAAGGGAATTTCACCACTGATCCCACAGAAACACAAACTACCATCAGATAATACTATAAACAACTCTATGCAAATAAACTAGAAAATGCAGAAGAAATGGATGAATTCCTGGACACATACACCCTCCCAAGACTAAACCAGGAAGAAGTTGAATCCCTGAATAGGCCAATAATAAGTTCTGAAATTGAGGCAGTAATTAATGGCCTACCAACCAAAAAAAGCCCAGGACCAGACAGATTCACAGCCGAATTCTACCAGAGGTACAAAGAGGAGAGGGTACCATTCCTTCTGAAACTATTCCAAACAATAGAAAAAGAGGGAATCCTCCTTAAGTCACTTCATGAGGCCAGTATCATCCTGATAACAAAACCTGGCAGACACAAAAAAGAAAATTTCAGGCCAATATCACTGATGAACATCAATGCGAAAATCCTCAATAAAATACTGGCAAGCCGAATGCGTCAGCACATCAAAAAGCTTATCCAACACGATCAAGTCGGCTTCATCACTGGGATGCAAGACTGGTTCAATATATATAAATCAATAAACGTAATCCATCACATTTACAGAACCAATGACAAAAACCCATGATTTTCTCAATAGATGCAGAAAAGGCCTTTGACAAAATACAACACCCCTTCATACTAAAAACTCTCAATAAACTAGGTATTGATAGAACATATCTCAAAATAATAAGAGCTATTTATGACAACCCCACAGCCAATATCATACTGAATGGGCAAAAGCTGGAAGCATTCCCTTTGAAAACTGGCACAAGACAGGGATGCCCTCTCTCACCACTCTTATTCAACATAGTATTGGAAGTTCTCCAATCAGGCAAGAGAAAGAAAGAAAGGGTATTCAAATGGGAAGACAGGAAGTCAAATTGTCCCTGTTTGCAGATGACATGATTGTATATTTAGAAAACCCCATCATCTCAGCTCAAAATCTCCTTAAGCTGACAACCAACTTCAGCAAAGTCTCAGGATACAAAATCAATGTGCAAAAATCACAAGCATTCTTAAACACCAATAACAGACAAACAGAGAGCCAAATCATGAGTGAACTCCCATTCACAATTGCTACAAAGAGAATAAAATACCTAGGAATACAACTTACAAGGGATGTGAAGGACCTCTTCAAGGAGAACTACAAACCACTGCTCAAGGAAATAAGAGAGGACACAAACAAATGGAAAAACATTCCATGCTCATGAATAGGAAGAATCAATATCATGAAAATGGCCATACTGCCCAAAGTAATTTATAGATTCAATGCTATCCCCATCAAGCTACCATTGAGTTTCTTCACAGATTTACAAAAAACTACTTTAAATTTCAAAAAAGAGCCTGAAAAGCCAAGACAATCCTAAGCAAAAAGAACAAAGCTGGAAGCATCATACTACCTGACTTCAAACTATACTACAAGGCTACAGTAACCAAAACAGCATGGTACTGGTACCAAAATAGATATATAGACCAATGGAATAGAACAGGCCTCAGAAATAATCCCGCCTATCTACAACCATTTGATCTTTGATAAACCTGACAAAAACAAGCAATGGGAAAAGGATTCCCTATTTAAAAAATGGTGTTTGGAAAACTGGCTAGCCAGATGCAGCTAAAACTGGACCCCTTCCTTATACCTTATACAAAAATTAACTCAAGATGGATTAAAGACTTAAACATAAGACCTAAAACCATAAAAACCCTAGAAGAAAACCTAGGCAATACCATTAAGGACACAGGCAGGGGCAAAGACTTCATGACTAAAACACCAAAAGCAATGGCAACAAAAGCCAAAATTGACAGATTGGATCTAATTAAACTAAAGAGCTTCTGCAGGGCAAAAGAAACTATCATCAGAGTGAACAGGCAACCTACACAATGGGAGAAAATTTTTGCAATCTATCCATCTGAGAAAGGGCTAATATCCAGAATCTACAAATAAACAAATTTACAAGAAAAAAAAACCATCAAAAAGTGGGTGAAGGATATGAACAGACACTTCTCAAAAGAAGACATTTATGTGGCCAAGAAACATGAAAAAAAGCTCATCATCACTGGTCATTAGAGAAATGCAAATGAAAAGCACAATGAGATACCATCTCACACCAGTTAGAATGGAGATCATTAAAAAGTAAAGAAATGACAGATGGTGGAGAGGATGTGGAGAAACAGGAATGCTTTTATGCTGTTGGCAGGAGTGTAAATTAGTTCAATCATTGTGGAACAGTTCCTCAAGGAGCTAGAACCAGAAATACCATTTGACCCAGCAATTCCATTACTTTGGGTATACACCCAAAGGATTATAAATCATTCTATTATAAAGACACATGCACATGTAGGTTTATTGCGGCACTGTCAACAATAGCAAAGACTTGGAACCAACCCAAATGCCCATCAATGATAGACTGGAATAAGAAAATGTGGCACATATACACCATGGAATACTATGCAGTCATAAAAAGGATGAGTTAATGGTCTTTGCAGGGACATGGATGAAGCTGGAAACCATCACTCTCAGCAAATTAACACAGGAACACTGCGTGTTCTCACTCATAAGTGGGAGTTAAACAATGAGAACACATGGACACAGGGAGGGGAACATCACACACTGGGGCCTGTCAGCGGGTGGGAGGCTAGGGAAGGGATAGCATTAGGAGAAATACCTAAAATAGATGATGGGTTGATGGGTGCAGCAAACCACCATGACACGTGTATACCTATGTAACGAATCTGCATGTTCTGCACATGTATCCCAGAAATTAAAGTATAATAATAAAAAAAATTTAAAAAAAAGCAAGAACAAGTCTTATTGAGTTCATCTCCACTAATCTTTGTTCTTCCTTCTAATTTTCAGGGCCTGCATTTTTGTGTGTGTGCTCTAACTACTGCAACAGGCCTCTAACTGGACTTGAGTTTCTCCCTCACACCTTGCTGCCATAGCTTTGTTATGGCACATATGGCACAGTTCTGAATGTTTGCTATGGCACAGTTCTGAATGTTTCATACCTAGTACCTCTATCCTTTTCTTCCCTATGTCTAGAATGCCTTAACTTCTAATTAAGAAACAAAAAAGAAAACCTTCCCAGCCCTCATTGCTGAGCTCAAGTGCCATTTTCTTCATGAAGCTGATCACCTTGCTGATATGACGTTTATTTATTCTGATCCCTCCTGCATTTCTATTCTTCCGACTTAACATTGGTTTATTATGGTTATTTGTGGACTTTTCTCACTTAAGACCAAAATCTTCTTGAGGACAGATTATGTTTTAATTTTGAATTGCTCTGTGTCTTCAATCTCCCAGGATGTTTATGATAGATGTTTGGTAAATACTGAGTAACTAAATAAGTTTATAAATGGGACTAAATCATTCCTTATGAAAGAAGTAATGCTCAAAGGAGAGTGCCTCAAGAACTACTGTGGGGAGCAATATCTAGACAAAACATGACATGGATCAAAGTTAAAAGAAAAGCTAATGTTCAATAAAGTATATTAATTGTTTTCTCACTCCTAGTTTGATTGCCTGGATAGGTGAAAATGGAAAACCCTAGTGGTTGTGTGACAAAGCAACAAATTAGATCTATAAAGAAGCCTCAAAAATACTGGTATCCCCAATCTCCAAGGCATCATAAGACATGACTCATACATAAATTAATACTAGAACATTTAGGCTGGGCACAGTGACTTATGCCTGTAATCCCAGCACTTTGAGAGGCTGAGGCAGGTGGATCACCTGAGGTCAGGAGTTCAAGACCAGCCTGGCCAACATGGTGAAACCCCGTCTCTACTAAAAATACGAAAATTAGCTGGGCTTGGTGGTGGGAACCTGTAATCCCAGCTACTGGGGAGGCTGAGGCAGGTGAATCGCTTGAACCCGGGAGGTGGAGGTTGCAGTGAGCCGAGATTGTACCATTGCACTCCAGCCTGGGTGACAAGAGTCAAATTCCATCTCAATAAAATAAAATAAAATAAAAATTAATGCTAGAACATTTTAATTTAAAAAATGAAATGCTACATATTTATGTAAAAAATCAAGACCATAATATTATTTGTAGAAAACGTCAGATGAATTTCCAATCCCTATACTGATCATTTTCTGGAAGACCAAAAAGGCCTTTCAGTAATAAAACTCCTCAAATTAGCATAATGTAAGTGTTCTGCTTATCTATCTCTTCAAAACAAATCACCACAAAATTTAATGGTTCAGCAATTTTTATTTCATGGTTCTGGGGGTTAACGAGCTCAGCTGGGTGGTTCTCACTTGAGCTACCTCATATAGTTGTAATCAGATGGCTGCTGAGAGTGAAGTTATCCAAAGATGTCTTTACTCAATGTCTGGCACCAGAGCTGAGATGATTGTAACAACTGGGAACTAGTCAAATATCTCTTTCTCCACACATAGTCTCTTTATCTGGCTAGCTTGTACTTTTTACACAATGGCAGACTCAGGGTAGACTGACTTCTCACAAGGTGATTAGCTTCCCCACAGTTACCATTTCAAGATAGCCAGGAAGGCTGCAAGGTTTCTATGACGTAGTTTTGGAAGTTGTATGGCATCACGTCTGTTATAATCTAATGGGCAAAGTAATCATAAACTAGCTCAGATTCGAGAGTGGAGGAACAGATCCCACCTCTTCATGGGGGGTATGCCTATGTGTACAATAAAGAAATGATGGCAGATCCAGCTACCTCATAACATTTTTGAGATATATAAATCTGATTTTCTAAATAAAGAATGATGTCCCATGAGAAAACATAAATCTGACTTCCCAAATAGAGAGCCATAAGCAGATTCATTAATCTGATTATTTTATTTTCAGTGTATATTTGCATTAAAAATCTATCTGTATTCTATTTCAGGAATCTAGCGCTTCAGGATTATGTGCACTCTTGCTAATCCAAGTGTTATCCCTGAACCAGCAGCATCAGCATCACCAGAGAACTTGCTGGAAATGCAGAATATCAGACTCTACCCCAGACCTACTTAATCAGAGAAGCCCAGAGAGATTCATATGCACATTAAAGTTGGAGAAGTCCCATACTCATATACTAGCATAAACAGAGTATCCTCAAACTCATAACAAAGAAACCTACAAAACATGAAGTACTGTCCTTTCAATTTAGGGGCAGAGGATTGGACATTTTATTTTATTTTTTTATGGGGGAATACAGCTAAAACTGAATTGCTTCAATAAAGTCTTTGACAATTTAAAAGCTGAATGTGTGTGTGTGGCTGGGAATCTTGTTTTCATCTGGGATCAAGAATTATTACTATGTATATGGGGAAGTGTTTCTTCTACAACAGCTATTG
Source organism: Homo sapiens (assembly GCF_000001405.40). Classification (NCBI taxonomy): domain Eukaryota; kingdom Metazoa; phylum Chordata; class Mammalia; order Primates; family Hominidae; genus Homo; species Homo sapiens. Next base: position 189,884,466 of record NC_000002.12, on the reverse strand, counting down.
ACTAAGAAAACTAAGGAGAAAAGACCAAAAAAGAGTGCAAATAACTTCAAAATAGATAACGAGTATCATACGTATTTAGTAATTTACATGTAAAAATGTAGAATTTTTTTTTGCTATTGTTATTAGTGAATTACTTAAAATATATTTTTGACAGTACAGCATCACCATCTTGCAAGTTAAGATGCTGTAATTTACCAGTGTCTAAAGTAAAATTAAAGCCACTTTAAAAACAAAAATGCCTCTGTAAAGAAAGAACATGAAAACATACCATTTTTCCCCATAAATATGTTCGCTCCATTCACAATTTCTTGCCTGTTTCTTAACTCATTCATTTCTATCATCTAAATTACAAAACATAACTAAAATACCTATAAGAAAGTTCTTAAATATCAAATAAGTTCAAAATTAAAGATCATTTTAAATTACCAGTCATTACTTTGTCTTATTAAGCATCTGGGTGTAAATGTTAACTAGAAAATTCTATCTGAATATTTAAGTTCTTTATAAATTAAAAAACTATTTAATTTAAGGAACAACTAGAAACTTTAGGTTGGTTTCCAAGAGGGTTCTGCAGACCCATATAGATTAACAATACTACAAAACCTCACCAAAACATTTATATTATATTGCTCTTATTTTGTTTCCTCTAGAGGGCAAGGAATGTCTTCTCTCTATATTCTCTGTTCAGTAGTACTGAGTGCTGTAATAATAAATATCACTGAATAAACTAAGAAATGTAGCTATAAGTAAAGGAGATAGAGATGAAGGAGTTTGTTATAGTGATTTTGTGTCCAACTAAAGTAGAGTGGAAGAAGTCTACCCCTCCCGGCTTTAGTTTAAAAGATTTTATGAAAAAGTGAGCTAGTTCAGAGGTATTTAAATATGTTTAATAGTAGACATAAGTAAGGGGAAAAAGGTTGTTCCAAATCCTGCTGACACTCAAAAAAAAAAAAAAAAAACAGGAAGAAACAAAATAACAGAATGTTAGAAACGATTGTGTACTTGGAGATCAAGTTCAGCATCTTGATTTCAGAGATGAAGAAATGGATGTCTATAACAGCATAGTCAGGTTGAGATCTTCTAAGCCCTGGTTTGTTTTTTGTCTGGCAGATTTTAGTAGAAGTCAGTAAGAAATACGGGCTTATAGAAATTGACTTGAGATTGACTGTTAGGGGAACTTTGATACATGAGATAGAGCAGTGGTTCTCCAAGTGTGGCTCCCTGACAAGTAGCATTAGCATCATCTGGAAACTTACTAGAAGTGAAAATTTTCAGTCCCACCCCAGACTCTCAAGATTAGGAACTGTGGGCACAGTGTCTAACAATCAGCGCTTAATAAGCTCTCCAGGTGATTCTGATTATGCTCAAAGTTGATAACCACTGGGACAGAATTTTTAAAAGCTAGAGAAAATATCTCTACATTAATTTGTAGTGTTTTAAGGAGGAATAGGAATTGTGACCAAAAATCAGGTAAGCAGAGAAAACCTCTGAGAGCAGTTGTGACAGTCCAATAGTGTGTTGCTAGTCTGAAAAAAAAAAATGAACCTTGGGATCCCCAAAATAAGCAAAGGAAAAAGTCAAGCTGTGAACTATAATACATCAGACAAACCTGCCTCCCATTTTATTCCTAAATAAGATGGCTACAAAGATTTTTAAAAGCTATGTACCTCCCTCATATTTTGCCCACAAGGAAATTCCTTGTGGGCCTCAAGATCTTTACCCTAAAACAGTTCTGTTGAATTTCACCCTGGCAATGTAAACTGATAGCTTATCCTCACGGGTTTCGGACAGAAAGTCATCCTTCTGCTCACCTGAGACAAATGCCTGATTGCTTCCTTTGCCCTATTGTTTATATAAAAATTGAGACTCACTGAGCCAGATTAAATTGTGTATTCAATGAAAGGCTGATCAAGGAATCAAAAGAATGCAACCTTTTGTCTCTTGTCTACCTATAACCTGGAAGCCTCTTGATTCAGGTTGTCCTGCCTTTCTGGACTGAACCAATATACATCTTACGCATATTGATTGATGTCTCATGTCTCCCTAAAATGTATAAAAGCAAGCTGTACCCTGACCACTTTTGGGCACACGTCGTAAGGACCTTCTGAGGCTGTGTCACAAGTGTATCCTTAACCTAGGCAAAATAAACTTTCTAAATTGATTGAGATATGTTCTCAGGTTCATACTAGTTATTACTGGAAACAGTGAAGAAGGGTTTAAAAATAAAACTTATCACGTTTAGGTGAGATTAAATGAAAGCTCTAGAATAAAGTTGTGAACTCCGAAAATCTGAGACAGGTCTCAGTTAATTTAGAAAGAATGTCACTTTCTGACAGGCCCAGGAGCCCCAAGTTTATCTTGGAACTTCAGAGAGGAATTCACCCAACTCATAGGTATTTGATGGTACAAATCCATGGCTGGGCTTGGCTTTAAAAAAATTTTATCTGAGATTCCTTCTATGGAACAAAGTTCCATCAAAGCCAATTTAAAAGCCTATGTAAAAACAAATAATTATTCTTGCTGCACTGTATACAAATAGTCAGAACAAGTTTAATAAAGTGAATCAGTTCTACCATGATTTGTCTTTAATAAAAATGGGAAACTGGAGAAAAATTATGTTTCAAAAACTGTAGTACATCTGTTCTTAGATTCTAGTCTTGCCTAATGTTTTTCAATTTTTATTATTTTCTACTTTGGACTGAATTCTAATCTTTCTATTTTGCAGGCTACAAGACTGCAAAATAATGTTTTCAATTTTTTTCCTTCTTTTTCCCCATTTTTCCTAATTTTCAGTCACTGAAAACTAAGCTGTGCTTTCGTAAAGCCCTGCAAAGTGAAGCTAGACAACTTAAACTTCAGAAGAAAATAACAGCAACCTACTTACATACATAAGCCACTTTCATACCTGCCTACAGATCTATGGACTTCAGAACAATGTGGCCTATATAGATTTTCCAGGATTGTTCTTTTGTTTATTGTTTTTCTGCCTTCCTCCCCTTATTTTCTCTTCATAGGACATGAGACTTCACAAACCTGCTAAAATGAGCTTTCCTAATAACTCAGGATCTACTCATCTAGGAAAAAAACATCATTTGGAGAACAATCCTTTGGAGACGCCAATCAGATATGCATTTATTTCAGTGAGCAGACGGGTGACTCTGAACAGAATGGGAGGCAGGTTGGTCCTAAGCAGTTCCCAGCTTGACTTTTCCCTTTAGCTTAGTGATTTAGGAGCCCCAAGATTTATTTTCCTTTCACAAGGTTAACAGTTAACTCTTGATTATTTATGTTTGTAAAGGGAGAAAGGTGACAATCTCAAGTCATTTTTCATTTGGCTTTGCAGTAAAATTTGTTTTTTTTCAGTACTTATCTTTGTTTACAGTAATATAAACATTTAAAGTGGAACTAGTAGAGCACTAGATTAGCTGTGTGTGCTCACGTATGTCATGTATGTATGTCACGTATGTCACTTTGGCCTTCTATTTTCTCATCTGTAAAATTAGTTGGCTCACCTCAAGATTATTTTTAGCCACTATAAATCCATGAACATTGGCTTGCCCGAAATGCTCCACTCCAAGAACAAGTCTAGTCATTTAAATATTTTAGTATCATTACTGGTATTTTAATTTGCCTGGTAACTTTGGTTTAAGTTAGTGATCAACATTTGGGGTCCCCAAATGTATTATTTCCTTTGCATTAATTAGGTACTGTAAAGAGTGTGAAACAAAAATAAAAACTTGGGACCCAATTCACTATGCCAAAAGGAAAAAATTAAGCTGAAAGCTGAGTCATCCAAGAAACTGCCCTTCCTTTGTTCCTAAGCAGATAGCTACAGATAAAAGGTTAAACATCTCACAGTATCTTACGTGAAGTGTGAATTTACTGAGCGTCAGACAATACACTGACTATTCCTTTACCTGCTCCTTTTCTCTTGCAACATGTGGATTCAGTAATGTGACCATATCCTCCCTCCTTCCCTTCCAGCCTGCCTTTCACCATTAAATAGCTCTCAAAATCATCTTTGGAGAAAGGCATACAGACCTGTCTCCCGGGTATGTCCTTAATTTTGACAAAATAAACTTCTAAATTTATTGAGACCTATCTCAGATGCTTTTTGGTTTGCAAAAGTTAAATCTATTTTTGGTTTTCAGTGTAGACCCAAGCCCAAGTTTATTTAGTGGCTTCTGCTCCCTCCTGCCCTCAAAAAAACCACCAAAAAATGCTGGAGGAAGCTTGCAGACATAAGAACATAAGATGAAAATAAAACAGGTAAGAATTTGGAGAGGGAAAAGTGGCTCCTATTTACACTTTTAGTTGAGAAATGCGGGCTGTGCTGGGTTGGGTTGCAATTCCTACAAACTGAGCCACAAAATCTGGATAAAATCACAGAGAATCACGTAGCCAATGAAAGTAACAAAAATCCGTTCATCTGAATACAGGTCTAACATTTTTCGATAAGTTAAATATCTAAAACCTCCTAGGTCTGGCCAGACCATAGATGGCTACCTTCTCAGCAACATGTTCAAGAGGGGCCTGCAGGTCTGACTTCCGTAGGGTTTTGGGTCAGCCCTGTGGCTATAGCGAAGGCTGGGATCCTAAGCAACATACTTGGGTGTAAAGAGCACTTTAGAACTCATACCTTAAAAGTCCTTCTCCCAGGCCAAGGGCTCTGGCAACCCAGCCTAAAGAGGCAAATGGGTAACTTGGGGTGAAGCTTTCCTTTTCCTTCGGATCTCCTCGCCTCGCCCTTAATTCCGGGTAAGCCTCCCAGGCCGCAGCAGCCGTTACCTCCATTCTGGGAGCCAGCGCTTCCCTGTCGCCGCTCCCAGCTTCAGCATTTGGTCCCGCGGGTGGTGCTGGGGCTGTTGTAAGGACTTGTGGAGGATGGGAGCGCTGCGGAAGATTGCCGGGCTTCTGCGTGGTTGCTAGGCTTCCCTTAGCCTCGTCAACCAGGATTGGTCCGTGGGGCAACGCTAGACCCTCACCTGAAGCCCATTCCTGTTCACGCCAGTCTGCTACTCCAGTCACCGTTAGGAAAACGTTGCCGGCCAGGCGCGGTGGGTAATCCCAGCACTTTGGGAGGCTGAGGCGGGGCAATCGCTTGAGGTCAGGACCTCCAGACCAGCCTGGCCAACATGGTGAAACCCCGTCTCTACCAAAAAATACAAAATTTAGCGGGACGTGGTGGCGGGTGGCGGGCGCCTGTAATCCCAGCTACTCGGGGGAGGCTGAGGCAGGAGAATCGTTTGAACCTGGGAGCCGGAGGTTGCAGGAAGCCAACGCCCCACTGCACTCTAGCTTGGGCGACAAAGCGAGACTCTTGTCTCAAAAAAAAAGTTGCATCCTAAAGTTGATTTACTCCAGCATTCGTTAAAGTGGTGTCAGGGAGTGTTTTATACTCCCTAACTACCTATGTTTAGTTGACCCAAATAACTCTTTAGGGCCCATTTCTCATGGCAGGCAGTATAATGGTGGTTAAGAACAGGAGCTCTGGGATTAGAATCTCAACAGTAACTACAAATTTAAATTCGCTGTGAACATTAAATGAGATTAGCCAAGGTAAGTGCTTAACCTGTCTAGCAAATAAGTGGTAAATACCTACTGCCATTCCTACCAACCTGCTTTGACACAATTCATAACTGGTGAGAAATGAGTTTCTTCATCTACAAGATAGTTGTAAGACCAGTACAGACTATATTGGCTAAAAAATGAGTCTACAGTTTTACTTACGGTGAGTGCAAATGTATGATGCAAATTTCATCTTTGATAGCTTCTGTGAGCCTCTCTTCCCTCAGTTTACCCAGTTAATTTAAAAGGATTACTCCCAGAAAGCTCTCCCAGAGCAGGACCTCACATTTATAAAAGGGGAAATGGAGAGTCAGGGGAAGCAGTATTTTGGGTCATGCAAAATAGGATGATATTGGCAGAAGAAAAGGCAGAATCCAGGTTTCACAATTTGTACTTAACACAAGGATCTTAGGAATTTAAAGATGATCTTTGAGAGTTATGGGAGATGGTGTGAGTGTGGGGACATCGTATCCAGAATAACATGTCTTATTTTACACAACAAATATGTTCATTAAAAATCATGTTTCAACTTTTTATAAAGGTATTTTGGTGCACTGTGGGACCTGGTTTTTGAAAGGGCATATGTACAATAGATAATTTTCACCTAATGGCCCGGTGTGGCGGCTCATACCTGTAATCCCAGCACTTTGGGAGGCTGAGGTGGATGGATCACCTGAGGTCAGGAGTTCGAGACCAGCCTGGCCAACATGGTGAAACCCCATCTCTACTAAAAATACAAAAATTAGCCAGGTGTGGGGTGGACGGCTGTAATCCCAGTTACGGGAGGCTGAGGCAAGAGAATCGCTTGAACCTGGGAAGTGGAGGTTGCAGTGAGCCAAGACTGTGCCATTGCACTCCAGCCTGGGTGACAAGAGCGAGAGTCTTAAAAAAAAAAAAATTCCCCTAAGTTTTCTGTTAAAAATCTAGGTCTTCCCATGTATTCCAACAAAAGTTGACCCCCAAATCCAATAATTACCATATAATAAAGAGACAGCAACATCTAATCTGTTACCCCCTAAATTGAAGTTAAAGGAAGGATTTCTGGTTTTCTTCTTCCTCTAAACTTCGTTTTCTCATTTTCTCCCACTCTGACTCTCCATTGTACTTTAAAAAATATTGACACTGTTTGTCAGATATGCCAGTATGTGTGATGTTTGATTTCTCCCTGCACAGAGGACCTAGTAAATAACCACCCAAAAATACTACCTATTTTCCAATTTTGAGCCTACAACTCATAATTATGATGATGGTTGGTTCTTGAGAATCAAATGAATAGTCTATATTAGTTTATTTACGTTTTCTACAATACGTGGAACTTTTTTCAATATAAAAACAAGTCAGTGAATCCTCATTTAAAAAATAACCATGTGACACATAATACAAAGATAATTTAAAACCAGACTCATGCTGTTTTATGACAGAACCAATTTCAATGGTAACTAATCTTCTTAAACATATTTAATCATGTAGTTTCTGGAAGATAGGTTAAATGATGAAAAAATGGGCGACCATGAACACACTCTTTAATTTCATTTCCAAACTGGTGCTTCATTCTGTAGATAATGTCTTGGATGTCCTCTTTTGATAAGTACATGGGTAATTGTCTGGATAGACGCACTGCTTCTCCCTGTCCAAAGGGAAAGTCACACATTTTACCATGATATACCCTGAAGCTGAAAACATGTTATCCTGGCAAAAAGGAAGACAGAATCTTGATTATTTTCATTTTATGAATTCACTCAACAAATATTTATTAAGTATCAACTATGTTGTCAGCTCTCGGGATGTAGTGGTGAACCAAAAAACAAGACTTGCTCTTGTGCAATTTACATTCTAGTGCAGAGAAACAGAAAACAGACAAAAGACAGAACATTTTAGTCAATAAATAATGCGTAAAATTAAACTGGGCCACATGATAGAGTGATTGTAGAGTTGGAAAAAGATTACTTGAGGAGATGACTTTAAGCTTGAATTTAAATAAGGAACCAGGCTGGGTGCAGTGGCTCAGGCCTGTAATCTCAACACTTTGGGAGACAAGGCAGGAGAACTGCTTGAGGCCAGGAGTTCGAGACCAGCCTGGGCAACACAGTGAGACCCAGTCTCCACAAAAAAAAAAAAAAAAAAAAAAGTGGGCACGGTGGGGCATGCCTGTAGTCCCAGCTACATGGGAGGCCGAGGCAGGAGGATCACTTGAGCCTGAAGGTCAAGACTGCAGTGAGCTGTGATCATGCCACTGCCCTCCAGCTTTTGAGCAAGACCTTGTCTCAAAATAAATAAATAAAAATTAATAAATAAGAAACCTTAATGGAAAGATCATGGGCAAAGAAAAGCATCTCACGCAGACAGAAGAGAAAGAACTAAATGTTCAGTGTGGGTGCATCATAGTTGTTAAAAAAAAGAGGAACAAGAAAAGGAAATTAGGCAGAGGCCAGATCACCCTCTAGGACAGGGTGAGGAATTGGTGTTTTGATTTACCCTTGGACAAATTCTACTGAGCATCGTTGAGTCATAAAACTGTCCTGGCTGGATCCAATACAAATGTTAACTCTTAAGATCCCTCAGTGACACCTGGAAATCTTCTTATTCCTCTCTAATTAACCTTCTCTTATAGTACCTACAGCTCTTATTTTCAGATCTTTGTTACTGTACTAAAATTACCAACTCCTTCCCACAACCCCTCCACTCTCAGCAGGTAACTTCTACTCTTTCACCACATATATCAACATGACTTCTCTCAAGTTCCCCTAAAATTTCACAGGTTCTAATGATTAAGAAATTTTTTTTTAAAGTTTACGTAAAAATATTATTTTCATTTTTCCCCTTTTCTGTTTTCTGCTCTTGATTCAGTTTCTTCTTTCTAAACCTTAAATTCATATCCTATCTTCCCTCTTGCCTTTTGGGGAACATTTCCCCTGCAATTTTTTTTTTTTTTTTTTTTTTTTTGAGACAGAGTCTAGCTCTATCGCCCAGGCTGGAGTGCAGTGTGCGTCCTCAGCTCACTCCAACTTCCACCTCCTGGGTTCAAGCAGTTCTCCTGCCTCACTCAGCCTCCTGAGTAGCTGGGATTACAGGTGCGCACCACCACACCTGGCTAAATTTTGTATTTTTGGTAGAGACGGGACTTCACCATGTTGGCCAGGCTAGTCTCAAACTCCTGATCTCAGGTGATTCACTCACCTCAGCCTCCCAAAGTGCTGGGATTACAGGCATGAGCCAGTAAGCCTGGCCTCCTCTGCAATTTTTTATTGTCAGTCTTCCACCAGTTCAACACAGACATGTTTAACATACTCTTTCCTTCCTTTCACTATTCACTATCATACGACTTGCTGCCTACTTTTCCACTACTACACTCTTTAACTACTGGCAAATGTCGTCTATTCCTACCACAGCAGACCCTTGAACAACACTGGTTTTAACTGTGTGGGTCCACTTATACATGGATGTTTTTCCGACCCCAACTGTGATAGAAAATACAGTACCATGGGATGCGAAATCCATATATACGGAGGGCCAACTTTTCATATATGTGGGTTCTGGAGGGCTGACTGCAGGACTTAAGCATGCCTGGATTTTAGTATCCACAGGTGGTGCTGGAACCAATCCACTGAGTATATACAAGGACAATTGTACTTTGCCATTACGATTCTCTTCAAGGTTACCAATGTCATCTAGTAGCCATATCTGATAGTCTTCTAGCAATTATTACCCTATACAGAACATGATACTACTTATTCTTAAATTTACTTCCTTCCTTGACTTTTACATCCACCCCTCTCTTGGTTCTCCTTTCACTTTCCTTTCTCTCTGATTCATCTTATTGACCTTAAATGGAAGCATCCCCGTGGTTTAAGTTCTCTCTTTTTTTTTCCTAGCCCATTTTTCTTAACACTTATACCACTATTACCTTAACATACTGAAAGGTAAAGTATTAGCAAAAAAATATTTAAAACCAGTCCCAATTTACTTTATTCCTGTTATTTCTGAACTCTTATTTCTCCCCACATGGTTCTTCCAACCCACAGCTCCCTCAACCTTTAAGTTCATACTAACTCTTTCACAAGAAAATATTCCCTTGAAGTCTCTAGAAACTATCAATGTTAAGCTACCCGCACAATAGGCTGGGAATTTCCACATGACAAAGTTCCTAAAGGATTCACAGAACATTACTGAATACATTCTTCAGAAGGTTTAACAAGCAGACTTTCCTGTTAAGGAAGTCCGACCTTCAGAATACAGCAGGCACACTACCAACTGTAAACAAAAATGGCTCATTTTTAAAAAGGGAGAAAAACTTCATTAGAGTTCAGGTTTGTTTTTTAAATAATACCAATCTTGAGGGATATCTAGAACAAGATATATAGATGGAAACACTATTGTTTTCCTGCTACTATCTTATATTTTAAAGTTTATAACCTTCCTTAATCCTTTTCTTTTAACCCACTCTTACATTTCTCTTTTGTGGTGAATACTGTCACAAAAATGAAAATTTCCGCTTATTCAAAGATTCCCATCTTTCACTTTCCTTCCCTTCTACTCCTCTTGATGAGATCAGGACTTAGAATTATATTACAATACTTTTTAGACAAGTATGTAATATAAAGGTAGCATTAGTTTAAACCCCTTCTGAGGGGATTATTTATGAAATGTTTTTAAAAAAGAACTTCACTGCAAAATATCTCATTTATAAAGTCTTTCCTCAATATGTACCCAAGAAAATGTTATGGTAAGAATCCATGATAGAGTTTACCACAGTCAGTCTATGATGTGAAACTTAATAGAGTGTTCTTTTTTTTTTTAATAGTGTTCTTCTTGCAAATACATAATAAAACTTACAGATAATATTCTACTATTTGGAAATAATTTACTATTTTAAGAAATAAGTATCTTAAAGTCTGGCCAATCTATAATACCTCTATATATAGAATCAGCAGCAGTCCCCAAGCTTTTTGGCACCAGGGACCGGTTTTGTGGAAGAGTTTTTCCAGTTGGCGGGTGGGGATGGTTTCAGGAAATTGTTCCACAAGAAGTGCACAACCTCGATCCCTCGCATACACAGTTCACAATAGGGTTTGTGCTTCCATGAGAATCTAATGCTGCCACTGATCTGACAGAAGGCAGAGCTCAGGTGGTGATGCCCGCTAGGAGGCCGCTCACCTCCTGCTGTGTGGCCTGGTTCCTAACCGGCTTGGCCCGGGAGTTGGGACCCCTGTATACAATAACATATATATAAAATAATGCGTACCTCTAAATAACTTATCACTTTGCGAGGTCTACATTCATAAACTTCCTTTGCATTTCTGTTTAATATAGCATTAAGAATTTCTTTTAAATCTGCTACTCCATAGAATGGGAGACAATTAGCCATTCCTTCTATTTCCAAGTAATTTTCAGTAATTGAAACTCCTGAAAGAAAAAAAATAAAAACACATAGTTAAGTTCATATTCCAGAACATGTCCATTAAAAACAAAAATTGCTGTTAAAACATTTAGTGAACCCTCATTCAAATTTAATACAGTCAGGACAAAGTTTTGTTCCTTAGTTGGAGAACAAATAGTAATTTCCCATAGGGTCTCACATTAAGTCATAAGTGCTCACTGACACCACATGTGCTTTATATAATTTAACTTAATCCCAGTTATTGCTGTTCTGTTCCTTAAATTTGTTTAGATCATTTCTTGCTTTGGAGAGAAAATGGAGTCCCATGATATTTATGAAAATAAAACTGGTTTAAGTGTTTTAACAACTGCTGCTCTTCAAATTCTACCCTACCATTTCAATATCTAAACGCCTGAATTATTTCTGTGATTTTAACTTACGAATTATAAAAGCAGTCACATAGTAATTTATGGAGATATTATTAATTAGAAGAAAATACTGTTTGTTCAAAATATTTTAATAGGACAAATAAAACTGACATGTTAACTGTTACTTAAATTACTCTTAGTAATTAAAATAAAACTAAATGGCTGGGCATAGTGGCTCACACCTGCAATCCTAGCACTTTGGGAGGCCGAGGCAGGCAGATCACAACATCAGGAGTTTGAGACCAGCCTGTCCAACATGGTGAGACCCTGTCTCTACCAAAAATACAAAAAAAATTAGACGAGTGTGGTGGTACGTGCCTGTAGTCCCAGCTACTAGGGAAGCTGAGATGGGAGGATCACTTGATCCCAGGAGGCACAGGTTGCAGTGAGCTGAGATCGTGCCACTGCACTCCAGCCTGGGCAACAGAGCAAGACTCCATCTCAAAAAATAAAATAAAATAAAATAAAACTAGAAACTAGCTAAAGGATTGGATGTATAACTGGGTACATAATCCATAACAGCACATATTTCAAAGCATCAGATTTGGCTTTAGAATGCATATTTTTGGAACATAGCAAAGATGTGTCTTCTTTGGCTGTATCGGTGTAACAGTGTTCTTTCATGAAGTCTACATAATGCTACCTGGAATTAAAGGAAAAGAGACAGTCCAATCTTGGATAAGTAGTAGCTATCAATGGATTAATTTAAAAAAAGAGATGTGATATAACTTGAAGAGTTTCAGATCCTGAGACTTCAATAATCCAATCCCTTACCTGTTCCCAATTACAGACTACATCCTTGACCTGGTTGGCAGATGCAATGCTGGTAGACTACAGAGATGGTATCCTAAACATTTTTCCCAGAGAACAACTGGAGAATAATATATAATATTATATTATCAAGCATTAAGGGATGAGATACAGAGTTCAATGAAGTGAGATGCTATGGTTTAGATGTGTGTCCCCTCCAAATCTAATGTTGAAATGTGACCTCTACTGTTAAAGGTGGGCCTAGTGGGAGGTGCATTGGGTCATGGGGCAGATCCATCATGAATGGCTTGGTGCCATCCCCATGGTAATGAGTGAGGTCTCTGTGGTAGTTCACACAACAGCTGGTTGTTTAAAAGAGCCTGGCATCTCTCTCTTGCTCCCTCTTTCACCATGTGACATGCTGGCTCCTTGTTGCCTTCTGCCATGATTGTAAGCTTCCTGAGACCCTTACCAGAAGCAGATGCTAGCACTATGCTTCATGTACAGCTTGCAGAACCATGAGCCAAATAAACCTCATTTCTTTATACATTACCTAGTCTCAAGTATTCTTTTATAGCAACACAAACAAACTAACACAGAAAATTAGTACTGAGGAGTGGGGCACTGCTATAAAGATAACTGAAGATGTAGAAGTGGTTTTGGAGCTGGGTAAGAGCAGAGGCTGGAAGAGTTTGAAAGCTCAGAAGATGACAGGAAGATGAGGGAAAGTTTAGAACTTCTTAGAAACTGGTTAAATGGTTGTGACTAAAATGCTGATAGAAATACGCAGAGTGAAAGGCTCACAAAGTCTCAGATGATATTGAGGAATTTATTGGAAACTGGAGTAAAGGTCATCCTTTTTATGTCCCCGCAAGGATTTTGGCTGCACTGTATCCATGCCGCAGGGCAAGCTTGTCTAACCTGTGGTCTGTGGGCCACATGTGGCCCAGAACAACTTTGAATGCAGCCCAACACAAATTTGTAAATTTTTTTAAACATCATGAGATTTTTTCTGCAATTTTTTTTTTTAAAGCTCATGAGCTATTATTAGTGTTAGTATATTTTATGTGTGGCCCAAGACAACTCTTCCAATGTGTCCCAGGGAAGCCAAAAGATTGGACACCTCTGCCCTTAGGATCGGTAGAAGTTTGAACTTAAGAGTGATGACCCAGGTCATCACTATTTAATTTCACTATCTAGCGAAAGAAGTTCCTAAGCAGCAAATCATTCAAGAAGTGGCATGGCTACCATCAGAGCAAAGAAATGACTTAAACTTGGAACTTATATGTAAAAGGAAAGCAGACGCTGGCACTATGCTTCATGTACAGCTTGCAGAACCATGAGCCAAATAAACCTCTTTTCTTTGTAAGGAAGGCTTGTGGTCATTTCTTTTAGTCTCAGGTCTACCTGAGTCTTACACAGTCTCAGGTATTCCTTTATAGAAACACAAACGAACTAACAGTGGAAACGAAATGAGTTTGAGCAATAGGGGAAACGTAAATGAAACTCAAAACTGTGTGTGGTAGGCAAAAAGCAGTAGCAGAATATTCTAGTTCACATCTCTTTTAACTATTTATATAGATATGAAAATTGCCAAAAATATCAGTCTAAGTGATTTTTCACTATTGGTAGTTTTAAATCTTTTACAGTATGATTAGAATGAAAAGTCTAATACTAACTACATTTGCCCTGGAAAATGATACACATTTCACAGAATTACTAGTGGAAATGGGTAAAAGGTACTTGGCAACGAATAAGGAAATTGAGCAATATTTTAACTTCTGTGTTTGTAAAATTCAGATATGGAAAAGTTAGAGACATTGGAACTATGTAACAATAACCCTTGAAAAGTTTCCATAAAATACTGTGAAATGCTTACCAATTTTCAGGGAAAATACATCAAATGAGTAAGTGGTTTGACAAGTTTTCACTTCCTAAAATATGGAATTCTTATTGATGCAGGACAAAAAGCTATTCCTATTAGCATGCAAAGTTCTTAGAGTCACATTGAGAATCTTCTCTCTCAAAGCCAGATGTATTCCTTCTCTTTCAAATGTTTTTATCCTTATCCAAAGAAGTACTGTGACTACAGGCAAACTGTTGATTCAAAGTTAGTAAAATACAATACTCTCACACAAGACAGAACTGTTAAGAAAATACAACCTAATTAAAAAAATAAAAAAACAAAGAAATGAAGAAAGAAAACATAAATATCTTTAACTTGCTCTGTTATTGACAAGGGAAATAATGCTGATGATAATCTAAGTAAAGTTAATTCCAATCAAATCAAGTCAGTTTACAGGTGACTTAATCATTTTTGCATCTTTGATGCTATGGAAAGTATTAGGCATTCAATAAGATTTAAAAAAATACTACTTACAAGCTAAGAGCTGAAAGCATCTGTGAGATATAAACTTACTGGGTAGTTAAAAAAAAATGCTCTTGGAATTGAGTGGCAGGTAAGAAAGGACAGTTATCCTTAAAACAACAACAACCTGCAGTTTAACATCTTTTTTTTTTTTTTTTTAAGATGGAGTCTCACTCGGTCATGCAGGCTAGAGTGCAGTGGCGTGATCTTGGCTCACTGCAACCTCCACCTCCTGGGTTCAAGCGATTCTCCTGCCTCAGCCTCCCAAGTAGCTGGGATCATAGGCACCTGCCACATGCCCGGCTAATTTTTGTATTTTGTAGTAGAGACAGTATTTCGCCGTGTTGGCCAGGCTGGTCTTGAACCCCTGATCTCAGGTGATCCACCCACCTCGGCCTCCCAAAGTGCTAGGATTACAGGCATGAGCCACCGTGCCTGGCCTGTTTAATATCTTTCATGAAAAAAACCAGTACCTGCCACCAACGCCATATAATTAGAAAAACAGATTAAGTTGAGAATAAAACACATATACCCCCACCCATCCCTTGCTTCAAGTAAATTCACTTCACATAAATTTTAAGATGCCAGGGACCCTGAGCAAGAAATATTTCTAGGAAGACTAAAACAGATGACTGCAAGCCTGCTAAAGGGGGCTAATGGATGGTAAGAAAAGAGAATATGTGAGCATCTCCCATTGCCAAGTACCATGCTCACTGATTTAATTGTTACTTTGGTTAATGCTCACCAATACTTCCTGGAGTAAATATCTAAATTTTGACAGGAAGGCAATATAATAAATGAGTTAAGAGCTAGGCTTTAAAGGCAGATTGCCTAGGTTCAAATTCTGGTTTTACCAATAACTGTGTCCCCTTGAGCAAACTTAACTTCTGTGCCTCAATTTTTCCATCTGTAAAATGGGGACAGTAATAGAACCTACTTTACAAGGATATTAGGGAGATTAAATTAATACATTTAATACTTAGAATAGTGCCCTGTACATAATAATTATTCAATAATTATTAGTTGTTTTCAATGAAGACACAGTGAGGCCAGGTGACTTTCCCCAAAACACATTGTTTTTAAATGGCAGTGCTGGGATTTGGACTAATAGAATTGAGGTAGGAGGTAAGAAGCTTAGGTTAGGTATCCTTAAAAATCACAAAAATCAAGTAAAATTAGTTTATGTTTGGGACACCAAAGTATTTTCTGTATATACCCAGCTCCATGCTTTTGTACATTGTTTTTACTTATTTTCATATCTCAGTAAAGCATTCCTTTAAAAATCTTCAAACACTATTTTGGTCGAGCTCTGTTTTTCTATACTTTGGGCATGACAAGTTTAGAGGCAGGAAGGGAGACAGTGGAGTCCTTCCTCATGGTTCCAATGTACCTCTCTGATACCAGATGAAGAGAAAGTAACAGAAGATAGGGCAGAAGGCAGTTGAGTATGGAAACTATAAAGGAACAGAGAAGGGGCCAGCCAGGAAAACTGAAGTCTCTAGCCAGATGGATTTTCTTTTTTCTTTTTAAATCCACCCAATGAATTTCCATACTGAGCAAAGAGGGTTATCAGTCTTTTACCAAAGCCATGGAACCAAATCATCCATTCTCCATATAGTACAACTGCTGATGTTACACGTCTAATTGGCAAAACAAGCAAATGTTTTTTGAAAAGCAAAGATGTCCATTTTTGTTAGGCAATTCCAATATCCTACATGTTTGTGTTTTATCATTTAAAGGAGTATTTTAATAATTTAAACAAAGCAGGCAGTTTGAATATTGTGTCAAAGGATGACAAAAATTACAATAAAACTATTTGATTAGTTATGAAAATGCAAATGCAAAGCATTGGACTGAAAGAGATGCCAAACTTACTTGTTTCAGGCAGAGGTGATGTTTTGAAAAAAATGTTTTAACATAGCTGACACTGTACTTATAGTGAGACAAAAATATACCACCATATCTGTAAATCATGAAACCCAAATGTAACTCTTGGAACAAGACTAATTTTTCCACATCAGAAAATATTAAACCACACTATCATACCTGGTATCAATTTTATCTTGAAACCATTCGCTGTAAGACGAGGATCAGACAGGTAAGTTGATCCACTGTATCTTTGGTCATCTGCTGTCATTTTATATAAAACGTCTAAATAATGAGATCCATTAAAAAGACTGAAAAAGAAATTATGGCCCTTTAACTTATTAAAAACACAAAATAAGGGGGTTTACGGGAAAAAGTTAATCCTAGGGCCCTTTGACAAGTGTTATCATCATTAACCAAAATACAAAGGTATAAGTAGCCCTATGAGAAATCACTGTTTTACATTTCTGTTAATATTTTATTAAATACCTACTGCACACAGTATACAGAAAGAAGATAATCTGTCTTCTAGAATGTTACAAATTGAATGTGAAATTTTAAAAATGGCTCTCTCTAATACAAATGAAAACTTTATAAATAATTCCATTTTATTCCTTCAAAACAGACACAATAATACACTGTCAAGTTAGGTGGTCCACCCTGCCAAATTTTCAACTGCTATTCAAAGTTTCTTCTGTAACAAAAAGATAAACATGTAATCTCTTTCTTCTAGGAACTAATAAATTAATCAATTTAGAGCTTGGGAGAGCTTCCTTCAGTCTACTGCAGGTCTGGCATGTTTGCCAAAGGTGGTATATGAAATGATTCTGAGTGGTGCAAAAACTTGAGGAAGCCAAAGATCACCTAGGGTACAAATCAACCACACATATTGGTTTTAGGCTTGGTCAGGACGCGTTATAGTCATTGCAAAAAGGTGTCTGTCGGGGTTGATGTGAATAGTTACCATCTTGCCACTCCTTCAATGAATATTTGAGTGCCTACCTTGTGGCAGATATTGTCCTAGGTATGTATGCAAGGCACTGTTCTGTGTTCCAGTACGCTGATATCTTTGCTTATCAGCTCTGAATGGTTGAAGACCCCAATGGCTGTGAGAGCTAATATTATAGAGAAGAGAGCTTTGGCTATATATCACATGTACTCTGTTTCATCTAACCAATATCCTAAAAATCGATCTGAGAGACAGTAGGGATGGTGGTGGTGGTGATGATTATGATACTGTATAGCAATTAATGGTGCAGGCTCCACAGTTAAACTGTCTAGATTGTAATCTTGGACATACAGCTTATTTACTGTCCGTGTGAGCCTAGTTAAGTTATTTAACCATTACATTTCAGTTTCCTCAGCTATAAAATGTGGATATTATCTACCTCATAAAGTTGATGTGAAGATCATGAAAAAACTTTGCCAAATTCCTATCATACAGTAAATGTTCAATAAATATTAGCCATCATTAAGGTTATTGTTATTGAGCCCTTACTTTATAGGTACCTAAATTATTCCACTTAGAGGTAAGTTACACAAACAGCATTAGAACTCTGGCAAGAAAACTGAGCCCAACCTACAATTACCCTGCCCACATTGTCGCATTGTGGGATAAACTAGTCCCTGACTCAGTTTTGAAAAACTTACATCATTAACTGTGATGGGGATGCCACATTCCAAAAGAAGGAGGAAAAACTATTTTGAATTAATCTTTATTCCTGTTTATGCTCAATTAAGAAAGATTTTTTTTTCAGGCCAATATGGTCCCACAATAATAGTTTTTAATGTATTTGTTTTTTGAAGAACAGAACATCACATAGAAAAATATTTTTAAAAACCTATCATTTGAAAAAGCTCAAAAAGATTTTTGAAATTTAAATGAAGTTTACAAAATGCCATTCAGAAAAGCAGTCAAGTCTAAAAATTCAGATGTACCCTAGCTCTTTTAGGTAAGAAAGAGAAAAGCACCATCAGATGTTTAAACTGTTTGAATGTAGCCTAAGACACTATTTTCTAATTGTTCCTCTGACAGTTTCCTAAGCCAATCTCAAGAGAATACTATGAAACATACTGGATTTTGGTTAATGTGGTTGCTGTTTCCTTATTTAAAAAGACAGACTTAACAGATGTTTTTCTGTGTTCTGTCCCTGTTTTTTTCTCCTCCAATGATGGCAGTGTCTTTAACAAGAGTTTTAACACATTTTATAAATGATTTCTGCTTTATTCTTGGAAGTTCTGAAACAGAATTATCTAACGATGTGTCCTAGGGAACAAATTATCTTTTTAAACTTCAGGTTTTTATTATTTTTGTCATGATTCTCTTCTACCTGTGTCTGACTGAAAAAGAAATATTAAGTTAAAAAAGGGAAATGTTAATAGGTTAGTCATTATTTATTTTTTAATCTTTTTTATTTTTGTTTCCCCAGGCTTTGTCATCCAAGGTTATTTATTTTTACAGAAAGCAATTTGCTCATATAGAATAAGAAAAGGAAATACCCTATATTACAACCAATAATAAAATTATTTCAGGCAAAAATCATCAATGATTGGCACCATTGCATGGAAAGGTTGATGGGAAACTTTCCAGTGAAAGACAGGCTGTCATTACCTGAACCTAGTGATAGTGCCTTTTGATGTGATGAAATATGAAGCATATAGCCAACCTATTAAGTAGATTCATCAGAAAATAGAATCTAAATCTATTCAGCCCTCCATGTTTAATTAACCCCCAATTAAACATAGGGGAGAGAAGTTGAACAACATAAGAAAGCAAATACAGACAACAGAACATTCCACTGAACAAATGACTCAGAATCTACAATAATAGAGTGATTTTTAAGATATATAAACAAGATAACCAAATGTAGTATGTGGATCTTGTTTAGATACAAATTAAATATAAATTTTTTAAAAAACTGGAAAAAAAGGTATTTTGAGATAATGAGGAAAAATTCCAAGGAATTATTATTATTTAAGGTATGAAAAAGGTATTGTGTTTAGTTGAGAAAACAGCCATTTTTTGAGAGAGAGATATTGAAAGATATAGGAGGGGGAATTGTTCTAAACTAATTTTGCGAAGGAAAGAAAATGTACGTGTATATACTGTATAGAAAGGTAAAGCAAATGTGGCAAAGTCTTGGATAATTACTGATAAAGGTATGCATCGTATACTTCTATTTTATTATGTGTTTGAAAATGTCAAAACAATGAGTACATAATGGAATAAAGACATGGCAATCTAACTTCAAAATTACCCTAGAGAAGTCACTAATGTACCAGAGAAATGAGCTTCATACTTATTAAATGTAGAAGTGAACTATCTAGAGTATTCTGATACTATTTCTAAACAATTCCATTAAAGATTAGAAATCATATATATATATATATATATATATATATATATATATATATATATATATTTTTTTTTTTTTTTTTTTTTTTTTTTTTTTCTGAGACAGACTCTTGCTCTGTTACCCAGGCTGGAGTGCAATGGCACCGTCTCAGCTCACTGCAACCTCCACCTCCCAGGTTCAAGCGATTCTCCTGCCTCAGCCTCCCAAGTAGCTGGGACTACAGGTGCGTGCCATCACACCCGGCTAACTTTTGTATTTTTAGTAGAGACAGGGTTTCACTATGTTGGCCAGGCTGGTCTCAAACTCCTGACCTCGTGATCCACCCACCTTGGCCTCCCAAAGTGCTGGGATTACAGGCATGAGCCACTGCGCCCGGCCTAGAAATCAAATGTTTAAAAGATTAAAATAAATAAATACCACTAATCCTTACTAGGAAACATTCCCAACCTTCTACCTTCGATTTTAATCTAGTATGAACTATTATAATAAATATTTTTACTCTTAAAAAGTATTGTATCATCATACCTCTCTGTTAACATAATTGGCTTTTCCAGTGGCTCTGCAGGAAGTTTATGATTCTCAAGAAGTCTTTTAAATAGCAGGGCTTCTTCTACTCTATATGGATTTAATAACATTACCTCTGTTTTGGATGTCATTAGCCATGCATCAGGAAACCTGAGATTGTGGATCAAGCAAGGTTCATCCTTCTCTTCTAAGTCAACTTTGTTTTGTTTCTTAAAATTTATTTTTAAGTTTTTCATAGAAAAGGGGATCTGTACCATTTTAATATTTTGACTCCTTCTTTTTTCAATTTGGGACTGAAGGAGTTCATCAAGTTTTGGTTGATTAGATAATGAGGTTTTTAACTTGTGCTTCTGGGCCAAATTCCATGCGCTGGTGGGTTTTATCTTTTTTCTGCCATCTTTTAGTGACATTTGTGACTCCTGTTCAATGGCTCTCTTCATTTGACTATTGTATCGTTCCAAGTCTTTAGTAGCCTTCTCTTCATATCTAAGAATAGAAATAAAATAGAACTAATGAGATCATAATCAGAAATATATTAACCATCTGAAGTAAATTTTATAAAAATAAAGTACTGGTGTTCCAGATATAGTAATGACAAAGGAACATGTATTAGACTAACTCTCCTGCATATAACTATGACAAACACTGAACAAAATATAAAAATCAATTATTGGCCGGGCATAGTGGTGGTTCACACCTGTAATCCCAGCATTTTAGGAGGCTGAGGTTGGCAGATCACCTGAGGTCAGCAGTTCAAGACTAGCCTGGCCAAAATGGCGAAACACTGTCTCTACTAAAAACACAAAAGTTAGCCAGGCATGTTGGTGTGCACTTGTAGTCCCAGCTACTCAGAAGGCTGAGGCATGAGAATTGCTTGAACCCAGGAGGCAGAAGTTGCAATGAGCCGAGATCGTGCCACTGCACTCCAGCCTGGGCGACAGAGCAAGACTCTGTCTCAAAAAAAAAAAAACCAAAAAAAAACACCAAAAAGAAAAAACAACAACAACAAACAAACACACAAACAAACAAACAAAAAACCCTCAATTATTTAAAGTAGGCACTGAAGAACAGCCAAAAGCAGGAAGAAATTAGAATGGATTCACTCCTTGAGGGGTGAAAAAAATAGAGACCCACATTTATAGGACTTTTAACCAGAGGGCAGTCCTCAGTATTAATGGGGAGCAGGGTGGCCAGAACTCAGTCAGAAAGTTGCACTCTTATTAGCCTGAGTCACCAGGACACAGAGCTGTCTGCTTCCAGAACAACTGAAAATTGAGAAAGAAAATCCCAGAAAATTCCATGTGTGGGAACCCAAAGAAAAACAACCATTAGAAGGCTAAATGAGCTGAACAGAGATTTCAGCTGCTGCCCATTGCAGGGAAACAAAGTTTGGAATCTGAATTCCACAGTTTCATGGCCGGGTGAACACTTTGGGCTTTCAGTTAAAACTGGAAGAGGGCCACATCTTAGGATAAAAAACCTACGTCCTAAACTAAGGAAGTTGCCCTGGGTCCAAGAACAAAATTGAAACAGCTTCTCCCTAACAAAATATAAAACAAAACCTCTACAAGCTCAAGGTGATCTGTCAGTAATTTAAATACCTGGTAGAACAAAAATCAGCACTTTTCAGAAGAAGATAACAGAATCCAGAGTTTTAAACATATCACCCACAATGCCTGCTATACAATCAAAAGTTATCACTCTAACAAAACAGGAAAATGAGAGTCATGGTCAAAAGAAAAAGTGGTCAGTAGAAGCCAACCTCAAGATGACCCAGATGTCAAGATTACCAAAAAACCACTTAAAAACAGGTTTAATAAATGTTTAAGGTCTTAAAAGATTATCATAATGAGAAAATAGAAGGGGGAATCTCAACAGATTAGTGGAAATTATAAAAAAAATACAGTGGAAGTTCTAGACCTAAAAAATACAATATCAGAAATTAAATATTCACCGGGTAGGCTTAACAGCAGATAAAAGATGGCAAAAGAAAGGGTCAGTAAAGTTCAAGACAGATCAATAGAAATGATAAAATGTGTTGTTTTTACAGAAAAGTGAAGACAACTGGAAAAGCATTGCAGTGACCTAAGGCAAAACAAACAATCTAATATATATGTCATTGGAGTCCCAGATAAACAATGGAAAACTGGGAAAGAAAATAAAATGTGAAGAAATTAGGGTTGATAATCAGCAAATTTGGAGAAATACAACTTACAGATGCAAGAAGGTCAGCAAACCTCCAAAGAGAATAAATGCAAAGAAATTTACAGGTAGGTATATTAGATATATTTATATCTAATATACAGGTAGGTATATTAGATAAATTTACAGGTAGGTATAATAGGCTGAAAACCAAAGATTAAGATAAAATCCTGAAAATAAAGAGGAAAAAAACAGTACAAATAGGAAACCGCAAAAATAATGGATATTGTAAAGAGCAATGCAGAGCCAGATGACAGTGAAATCTTTTTTTTTTTTTTTGAGACAGAGTCTCTCTGTCTCCCAGGCTGGAGTGCAGTGGCACGATTTCAGCTCACTGCAACCTCTGCCTCCCAGGTTCTAAGCGATTTTCCTGCCTCAGCCTCCAGAGTAGCTGGGATTAGAGGGGTGCACCACCACCCCTGGCTAATTTTGTATTTTTAGTAGAGATGGGGTTTCGCCATGTTGGCCAGGCTGGTCTCAAACTTCTGACTTCAGGTGATCCACCTGCCTTGGCCTCCCAAAGTGCTGGGATTACAGGCATGAGCCACTGCGCCTGGCCAACAGTGAAATCTTTTCAGTGGCAAAAGAACCCAGAATTTGGCTATATCATTAAAAAAAAAAAAAAAGTCCTTCAAAAATGAAGATGAAATAGATGTTTTCAGATTAAGATGAGAATTAGTTGCCAGTATATGTGCACAATTAAGGAAAGTGACACCAAATACAAGTGAAATTATACTTACAGGGTTTTTACATTAACTCCAAGTAGATTATAAGGATGCATAATGTAATCACCAAAGCAAAAACTAATGGAAACTCAATAAAGAAATTAAAATTAGATACTGAAATATATTCTTTTAACCCTAAAGGGCTCCTCTCCCCCCAAAAAGGAGGAACAAAAGAACAAAATAGAGCTAGGACAAACAGAAAACAGGAAAATGGCAGACCTAAACCCAACCATATCAATTATTATATTACATGGACTAAATATTGCAATTCAAAGGCAAAGATTATCAAACTGAATTTAAAAAGTAACAACGAACTTTGTCTACACTTTAAATGTAAAGACGAGGATAGTCTAAAAGACTGAAAAAAAGATATACCATGCAAATAGTAAGCATAAGAAGCCAGAGTTGCAACAGTATATACTCCTCCCTCAGTAACTGACAGAACTAGAGATCCTCCTCCTCAAAAAAAAAAAAAAAAAAAAAAAAAAAAAAAAAAAAAAATTCCTCAAAGATATAGAAGATTTTAGCAATATTATCACCTACTTAAGACTTAACTGACATTTTGGAACACTACCATCTAGCAACTGCAGAATCCTGATTCTTTTTAAGTGAACATGGAACATTTGTCAAGACAGAACATATACTGGGCTTTAATTCTCATTACTTTTCAAAAGATTGAAATCTAACTTAGCATTTTCTCTATCCATGAAACACTTAAATTAGAAATAAAATATCCGGAAAAGCCCCAAATATTTGGAAAGTAAACAACACAATTTTACTCATAATAGCCCCAAACTGGAAACAACCCAAATGTCCATCAACTGGAGACTGATTAAACAAATTTTGGTATATTTATACAACTGAATATTATTCTTTGATTTAAAAAAAAAAACTACTACACATAGATTCAACAACATGGATGAGTCACAAAAATATCTTTGTTGAGCCTAAGAAGCCAGATATGAAAGAGTATACATCACATGATTTTATACACATGTGAAGTTCAAGTACTGGCAAAACCAAACTAGTGTAACAAAACTCAAAAGAGTGGCTGCCTGTGGAGACTGGCTGAGAGGTGGCATGAGGAACCATTCTGGGATGATGGAGATGTTCTCTATTTTGTTTGGGGTGATGTTTATGTGTGTGTACACATGTATGAAAATGCATCAAATTACACCATTAACATCTCTGCAATTCACATTAGGTAAATTTTACCCAGTTAAAAAAACCATTTAAGAAAGTGTGGGGCCACAAACAATCAGAAAAAGAGAGGATGAATAAAGAAATGGATCAATTCCAGATCTGAAGCATTCCTTATATATCTGCTTTAACATCAACATGGAATAAACAATTTCCTGAACAACATTAAGGAAAATTTTTTGTATATAATACTTCATTTGGTAACTGCTAGTGAAATTATAGTCACTACAATAATCACAAAACAGAAAGTATGTGATTAGCTAATTGTTAGTTTTTTTAATTCTCATTTTAGTCATCAATGAAAAGACAAATTTGGATAAATTAAACACACCCAAACCATCTAATTTAACTCAATTTCAAAGGTAGAAGATAATGGATGTTCGAAAAATTATACTGGATAGATTCTAAGAACTCAAGAATAAAAAAAAATTACACTGGGTAGAAAGTTAAGAGATCTTTTTGTCAACAATATGAGAAAAATGAAACTTCCAGGGCCAAAGACCTAGCACAGCGGTTATGTCACCCCTTTTCTTAAAAAGTGATACCTGGATCCCATCCTCAGAGCTTCTAATTCTCTAGGCCTAGGTTGAGATTGGGCAGCTGCTGTCACAGAGCTCCATAGGTGATTCCAGTACATACCCAGAATTGGAAACTACTGTAATTTGTTCAGCAAAGTGTGGTGATTAATAACACAGACTCTGAAGACAGCCTGGCTTGGTTCTGCCATTTAGTAGTTCTGTAAACCTATGAAAATTATTTAATCTTTCTGTGTCTCATGCTCAACTGTAACTTATGGATAATACACATCTACTTCAGTTTTGTTGTGAGAAATAAAATGAGTTAAAGTGTGCCAAGTACTTAGAATATTACTTAGCACAGAGTAAGTGGTGATAAATGTTTTGCTCTCATTATTTTCTACCAAGAAACACAAATCTCACAACAAAGGGGCGAGTAATGGTTGGAAATTAAGTAACTTTGCTAAAAGATTACTTTTTAAGAAAGTTTTAAACTTGGGACTAGAGAATTAAGGTTATTTCTAGTCTCATACTCTTCAAACACTAACTGAATTTCATTATCTGCATATAATAATCTCAAGGAAAAATATGGAATGTGAAGAAATAAAAATATTATTGAGAGAACAGTGCTGTTAAAAGTGAGATTTAAAAGACAGGAGATCACAGCATGGCATGTAGTTTGTGCTCAGTACCTGTCTGCTGAATGAAGAAATGTTACCTGAATAAGAGTGTTAAAAAAAGACCTTATTTCACTGTAAACTACATTAAAAAAATGGCTCCTTTGGTTACTTACCTTGCTATATTCACAATTTTAAAGTTATTTTCTACTTAGAATCTGAGGTTCTGGATTAGCTATACAAAACACATGATTTTCAATAGTTTACTTTCAACAGGTCCTAGAAATAGTATTTTTAGCTCTTAGACATTCAAATTAAAGATTTTTCCTGTGCAGTGGTAAAATGAGTTCAAAACAAAGGTCCCCATTTGTAATTAATTATAATGTGCAAATTTTCACATATGGTACTCATCTTTGGGAAATATAAAAAGTTATGTCCAAAGGAATATTAAGTAAATGTTAAGTAAAAGCAGCTGCTACTGTTGTACTTAATGTCAAGAAGGGATTTAGTAACTTGAATGGAAAATATTAATCCTGATTTGACCAGAAGTCAAGTCAAATAATGTTCTTGCGACTAAACATTGCATTTAGTTATAAAGTTTATCATTTTCATAATACCCTAGTTGCAATTTTTTTTTAGTTTAAATAGCAATATATTCATAACTACTGCAAATGAAAAGTTCAAGCTAACGTCAACTGAGTGAGACCCCAGTGGTAGGGCACATGGCCCAAATCTGGATTTTAATCCACTAGAAGAAAGGCGAGGAAGGAAAAAAACAAAAAACAACAAACAAACTCCAGAAAGGAAGAACTAAAACAATGTCAGTAACTCCCTGACTCCAAAATCTGTCCCAAGCTCTCATCAGAAAACTGAACAATCCTGATCCTACTCCTTATTCAAACTCTTTGTTATAGCTTTGAGAACCTTCCATTATCCATCCCTCACCTTCCCCCAACTTTCTTTACACATACTCCCTCATATTCTGTTCCTGTCATAGAATCTTATTTCCTTAATAACACCATGTTCCTTCTAGCTTCTGGGCCTTCTCATATACTGTTCCTCCAACCTACACAATTCCCTAAAATCCTTCTGGCTAATTTCTATGCAGGGAAGCATTACCTGTCCCACAGATAATATTAAGTCCAACTGCCAAGTTTTCCCCTAATTCCTTATATTTAAAACTTGTATCTTAAAGCTCATCACATTCTTGTTTAACTGAATCTTCCTTACTAGCCTACACCATTCATGAGTTGGGAAAGTATGTTTTATCTGTGACTAGCTAGAGTACCTCAGGCCTTATATGCAGAAAACCCTTAATATTTCCTAGTTGAAAGAAGGGAAGGGAAAGGAGGAATCGAGAGAAGAAGAAAGGAAAAGGAAAAAAGGAAGAAAAAAAGAAGAAGGAAGAAAAGGATGGACTGAAGGTCTATAGAAGAGGCGTCTACTCTCATATCTCTTAATATACCTTAGAGAATTTAGGATCATGGACAGAACTCCAAGATAAAGACAGGAAGAGAAATGGTAGCTAGTACGATTCTTGGGTGTTGTATCATTTTTGCTCTACCTTCTCACTAATCATGATGCAACTAGACTCAGCTGATCATGGTCCCAGGAACCCTGGCTCTGAAAGGTTCTAACACAGCACTCTGTGACATACAATTAGAACTCTGATCCCAAGATACCTATATTTTCTTCATAGGTTTCTATTTCTGGCCTCCAAATTCAATTTAATCTTGACTCAACAAATGAGAAATGTTCTTCTCAACAGAAAAATTCCCTTTCATAGATTAAAAACTGATCATATTGACATTGTGAGCAATCATTTACTATGTGTTAGTAATTGATCTTGTATCATAACACACAATATCTTATTTAATCCTCACAACAATCCATGAGAGACTGTCCACACTTTTAAATACAAAGCTAACAAAGAACTGTGATTAGAATCCAGGTGAAGCTTCAGAGGTCTTGACCATCAAAGCCTCTTTTGTCTACTTTATGGCAATGTGAGAGAAAGTAAGCTTGATTCCAGAATATTACCTGGAATATTCCGGTAATTGATGGTAAATGGATTTTTAGATGAGGCCTATTAATCATAATCCTAGTAACCTGACACCTTGGGACCCACAAGGAGAAACAATGCAGACATTCCCCAAAAAGCAACTGGAATGATACCTGCTGTTGTGAGGCTGCAAAGGAACAGTCAGCAAGATAAGTTTCCATCATAAGCTTGTACACTGTCCCTATTTCCATGAGAACTTGAAACATCTATGGTTTTTTCCTATTCTCAGACAATTCTCAATTCATTTCCCTGGGCAATGCAATTCAACTTTTGTGGGCTTACTGTATTTAAAAGTTAAGTCCCCTCACCTTTAAACTGCATAGTTGTGTCATTTAGGTAAAACTAAAGACAATCACAATTGTGTGAACCTTATTTGCATCATAATTCAAAACAAATCTTTAAAAATCTGACATTTATGAAACAATTATAAATTTGAACACTGAGTATTTGATATATTAAGGAATCTATACCTTTAAAAAAGTTATGACAATTATGGTTATGTTTAAAATATGAATATCTTTATCTCTTAGAGATACATACTGAAATAGATGATATGCCTATGATTTGCTTCAGAATAATAAACAAAGGGAAAGAAAGTGAATGGAAGTATGGATGAAACAGGACTAATAGGGCTGACTATGAGATGATTGGTGGTGAAATGGGGTAATGGCTTTATACTTCAAAATGTCTACTTTTGTGGATATTTCCAAAAGAACAAAATATAATAACCATTCCCACTTAAAAAAAAAAAAAGATGACAAAAAAGGCTGAAGAGAAAAGCTTTATGGAGGCTTTTCATTTTGGTGTTAATAGTGGTCTTTATCATTTTAAATTGATATTGTTTTTATAAGACTGAATAAGCTAAGGAAAGAATGAAAAAAAAAATTGGTCAAGTATCTAGGTAGTTTATCACCAAATATAAACTCCAGATGATGGATTACGTTTAAAATTTTTTCCACACATTTGACATAATATTGAGATACTCAGATACCTGTATATGATTGGAGGTATAATTTCACTCTCATTTTCTGCTGGATTAGATCACCAGAACATAATATTTTGTGTTTATATTAAGTGTCCTAAGTCAATTAAAAACATTCATCATATTATTTTGGAACATTTATTCAGAAAATCTAATTTAAATATGGCAAATACTATTTTAATCAAAGACAGATCAAATCACCTATTTATGTAATAAAAATACCCACTATAGTTTATAAGTTATAATAAATAATACATCTTAGAAGCAAGCCTTAAGTTATACTGAATAGAAACAGTATAAATGAACAACACTAAATTGAATCGCCAATAATACAAATTTTTTTGTGTTGTATTACATATTTTGGAGACCAATTTAAGAAAGGGAATAGTTAAGATATTAAAAACACCAGTTACAACTGTTCCAATGCAAAAGCTTTTTTAAAAAGTTCTACAACAGAAAAGTTATTAAACATAAAACAAAAAAAAAATAGAAGATAAATGGTGGTTTGAAATTGAGAAGATGAATGGAAAACCTTTAGCAAAAAATTTAATAATATCAGAAAGCAGTTAAGGCTTAAACAAAAAAAAAACAAAATAATACAAGCCCCCGCCCCAACAAAAAACCTAAATTAGCAGAAAAAAAAAGTGTTACCAAAAAAGGTACTCTATCCAAGCCAAAGGTATTTTCTGATCTGCTTTTCCATAAATAAGAAGTGAAAAAAATTCTTTTTAAACAGTGAGTCATATAGAATGGAAATAGCTGAACATTCAAGTCACATGCAAGCTCTGGAAACTTACTTCAGTTTTTCCTCTTCACTCAATGTCTTCCACAGTTCTTCAATTTGTAGTGTTGCATCCTCTAAACTAGTCTTAGGATTTTCTATGAGAAACTGAGGACGATGATCTTGAACAAAAAGAGCACTTGCTGACATGGGTTTCTTGATTACTCGATTGCTAAGTAAATCATAAGCTGTAACTTTTCCAGATTTATTATCTATTACATTTGATTTTTTGTTACATGAATCTTCATTAAGATTCATTTGTTCAGGGATTGGATAATTATTATTACTTACTTTACATGGTAAACTTTTTTCAGGCACTAAAATTTTCACAGGTTCAATATTCTCTCCCACTGAATTTTTAAGTATATTTCCCCTGCTCCACTCATCTGCAGAAATTTCCGAAGAGTTTTCAAGACCTGCTTCTTCCTCATTTTCCCCACTCTCATCTATATGGTCTTTATTGCCATTTTCTGACTGGGTGTGCTTAACGGAACTTATAAAACAAGTTTTACTATATTCCGTCTGAGAGTTCTCCCATGATACATTACTCATTGAAATGTCCTGAAATGCATTCTTAGTGTTTTTATCAATGTTAGAAATTTCACTACTACAATGACCATAACCAAAGTCACCAATACTTATCTGGTGATTTAAACAATCATCAGTGTTTTTTCCAGATTCATCATTATGCATATCATTTTGGAATGGAATGACTGAAGTATCAACATTTGAATAATTCTTTCCAGATGATTCCACTTTATTAAAAAGCACATCTGTTTCTGCTGTTTTACTAAGAACGATGTCAGCTGCGGAAACATCTGTTTTATTATTTTCATAAGAATTTGTACTAGGTAATGGTCCATAACAAGTCGTCATCAGATTTTCAAGAGCAATTAAAACAGATTCCTAAAAATACAAATTAACAAATGTTAGGGGAAATTATGAAAATAATAGACAAGATTTTAAATAATAAAAAAGATAAATATAAACAAATCTTTTTATATGAAAACAGTAATATATGTTTATAAATAGCATAAGAAAAAATTATCTGAAAAGAGTTACCTTATTTTGTAATAATACTTGGCTTTTATCTGGTGTTAAATTTACATCAACATCAGCTGTAGGAACATCGATTTTCAGAAAGAAAACAGGATACAAACGAGTAGATTCCTTTAGGCATTTCAGATTGTAATGATGTCGGATTAACTAGAAATACATGTAATAAATAAAAGAAAAAATAATATGTAATTAAAAAGTACAATAAAACCCAGCAAATTCAACTGAGAAATTGAGTAGATGCAACTGCTTATTAGGAAAAGCATTATCATGACCCGGCACAGTGGCTCATGCCTGGGATCCCAGCACTTTGGGAGGCCAAGGTGGGGGGATCACTTGAGGTCAGGAGTTCAAGACCAGCCTGGCCAACATGATGAAACCCCATCTCTACTAAAAAGTACAAAAATTAGCCGGGCATAGTGGCAGGAACATGTAATCCCAGATACTTGGGAGGATGAGGCAGGAGAATTGCTTGAACCTGGGAGATGGAGGTTGCAGTGAGCCGAAATCATGCTACTGCATTCCAGCATGGGCAAAACAACAAGGCTGCATCTCAAAAAAAAAAAAAGAAAAGAAAAGAAAAGAAAAGCATTATCTGTAATACTCCTTTGGAGGCCTTGAACCTAAATGAAGCACAAGCATTCAAAACAAGTACAAACATGCAATAAAACTGGCTTAATAATTAAACATCACAATGTCATGGAAGTTCTGAAGGCTTAGGGTTCAAATCAAAACTCTGGCATGGTGGCTCTGGCTTGTAATCACAGCACTTTGGGAGGCCGAGGTGGGCGGATCACTTGAGGACAGGAGTTCGAGACCAGCCTGGCCAAATGGTGAAACCCCATCTCTACTAAAACTACAAAAAAAATTAGCTGGGCATAGTGGCGGGTGCCTGTAATACCAGCTACTTGTGAGGCTGAGGCAGGCGAATTGCTCAAACCCAGGAGATGGAGGTTGCAGTGAGCCAAGATCACGGGACACGCCATTGCAATCCAGCCTGGAGAGCGAAACTCCATCTCAAAAGAACAAAAACAAAAACAAAAAAAACTACTAACTCTCTAATTTCCTGGCTATGTGGCCTAAGAGAAACATTGAACATTTGTTTCCTCACTATAAATGGGGATGATAATGCAGTCCAGAATTGCCAGGAAGAATAAGAGAGACATCATATGTCTTTCTATCATGCATAATGTTTAATAAATGACATTGTATTTCTTTTTTTTTATTTTAGAGCAAATTCTTGGAAGCAGTCCTTGTTACAATGTGACAAATTTCCAATTCAAATAATTTTTTTTTTCTAAAGCATACTACCTTTAAGATATCTTTTTGATGTACTGGTCGACTGTTTATGAAGATGAAACTTCTTTCTGGTGTTGAAAGACTAGTGAAAGAGTGGTCTGCATCACACTTTGGAAGAAATCCACTGAGATAAATCTATATAATAATTACAGAATATGCAATGTCAACAATGTAGTTCCACGGGTCTGGCTATATATAACACTTTGAAAGGTATAAAAAAATTAAAAAACAGATTTTCATCTTAAGGTCTAAAAAGCCATATACTTCCTGATAATCATGTCTTAAGTATTAACTTTAAATAAAATAGTAAAGCATGCTACACTGGTGCTGTCTGCCTCTTTTTGTTGGCAACTCTAAGGAAAAATTGGCATTTATAAAATCTTCATGAATGGTTATACTTTCAGATATTTAACTGTCATAGGACATAGAGCATTCAATCTATACTCAACCTTTTTTCTGTCTTTTAAAAGTTTCTTTCCTCACATTGTGACTTTTCTCTGGCTGTTTGTCCTTTTGTCTTTAACCATCTTTTCCTATAAAGAAGTTGCTGTTTCTATCTTCATTCTGAGTATGCTATATAAAGCCAATCTTACTGGGTTTTCATTTCTGAGTTAAAAAAAAAAACTCTTTTACTCTGTATTAACTTCCTCAGGGCTAAATACTGATTGCACTGTTGTACTTTAGCTTCATTTTTGTTCAGAAAACTCTTCTATAAAAATTTTACTGAATATTTATATGCTATCTTTCTCTACTTTACAAATGTATAAAGAAGAAAGAGAAAATGAAGAAGGATACTAGAAAAGAATACCAGAGAGAAGAGAAAGATATTGAAGGGATAGGAAGCAGAGAACATGCTCCCACTTTTATCTTTAGTTAATGAACACAGCTAAAGACAACATCCTATACTGTTAAGAATATAAGACAGAGCCAGATTGACAAGGTTTGAATCCCAGTTCTACCACTAGCTATGTGATTTTTGTTAAGTTATTTAAAATATAGGCTTAAAATCTCTTATCAGAAACAACTAGAACTAGATGTGTTATTAATCTGTCAAGGAACACTCATAGTAAAATTTTAGCTTAGGTTGAGAAAAACAAGCAAGTCACTGGGGGTACTATTTTTAGTTAAGCAGGAACCGTGGGGCTCCTTATTAACATAGCCTGTAAGCCACCACCTATGTCTATGGCTATCCCTGCCCTTGGAAATAAGTGTTTAAGGAGATGCATTACCAGTTTTAGAACACTAAGTGCATTATTGTCACAATGCCAAATTGTGCCAATTTGAAAAAATAAATTAATCTGTATAATCCATTATAAAATGATACTACTTAATTAACTGCAAAACTTCACAGCATTTAAAAATGGTTGTATAATTTACCAGGTAACATGAGACCCTTCTTAAAGCACCTGCTGGGCATCAGGGAGAACCTGTTTAGCCTCTGAAAGACTTATTGGGTTTGTGACTTTAAAAAAAGTCTGCCCTGAGAGGATAAGAATAAATAATAAAATGAAGAAGAAATATGTAATATTGCTAGTGATTTCCTTTCACACCACCTTGGTTGGCCACTTAATAATTACTATTCTAGATACTGAGCTTTAAAAATGGTTTAGGATAATCTTAAGAACAAACTATGTTTAAGTTACATGGCAAAGTAAAATAAAACAGTAGACTCATAAAATGCTGTAAAAAGTGAAAATCAGGCCAGTTCATGGAAAAATAACTTGAGACACCAAATCAGTGCAACAAAATTGAAAATTAGATAAGACTTTACAAAATTCTGTACCCAAATGTATTCCTCAATTTCCTAAAAAGCATAACAAAAATTGAAGGCAAAATACAAATACCTCTCCTCCCTAATTGCTTCTCAACTATGGTCCGCCCCTCTCTTCCCTTCATCTCTAATCCCGTATAAGCAGGCTTCTACTTCAATAACCAACTCCAAGGGACACTAAAGGGACACTACGCAGCCCTTCTCTTATTTGACTCCCTGCAGCCCGACACCCTCACAATTCTCTCATCTGGGAAGTGTCTCACTGAATGAATTTGTTTCATCCTTCTCCTTTGGTCTTTCTGCTTCCTCTCTAATGC
This sequence comes from Homo sapiens, assembly GCF_000001405.40. Taxonomy (NCBI): domain Eukaryota; kingdom Metazoa; phylum Chordata; class Mammalia; order Primates; family Hominidae; genus Homo; species Homo sapiens. The sequence continues at coordinate 189,850,701 of NC_000002.12, read as the reverse complement.
CTCCTCTTCATTCTGGTTTGCTGGTTTCTCTCCTTTTCCTTATCCCGTATAAATGATGATGGTCCCCAAGTTCCATTATCAGCCCCCTTTTTCCTGCTCTCTAGTTACTCTTCCTAATTTCATTCACACCTATAGTTTCAACAACTACCCATACACCAGTGATGCTAAGATATAGCTGTATAGCTGCTATTTATTTCACTCCCCAGTGCTTACCATCTTCAACTGGCTGTCACAAAAATATTCTCAATCTCACCACATTCAAAACTTGGTAAAATATTTCATCCTACTTCTATCCTGCTAGCTCATCCTATACTCCTTTACTATGATAAGGGCTCTGCCAGCTACCTAGTCTGTTAAACCCATCTCCTCTTCTTAACCCTGATTATATTGATGTAACCCTGGCTGGTCTCCTAACACTAATCCTTCTCCTCTTTCAGTAAACCTCCACAACACCAAGAAGTTACATTTTTACAGTAGTAATTTAAGCACTTTTGTTCAGGACAGTGAAACAAGTTCATGTGAAATCCCCTTCTCTGCCATTCCAACTGCAAATATATAACAGTGATAGATAAAATACAAATTTTCAAAAGGCCACCCACATAAAAGTAGTTAAAGATGTTATGACTGCAAAACATTTAACAGGGAGTGACGGCTAAGGTCAAATGTCCTATGTGGTCTAGGATCAGAAACAAGATGTGTCAGCTGGAAATTAAATTCTGGTACAGAAATAAGGACTGAAAACACCCCATTCAAGACAGGGGACTGAAATCTGTCTTTCCATTTAAAAAAGGGGGCTCATATAGCACCTCTTCTCCAAAAAAAAAAAAAAAAAAAGTTTAAAAATACCGTGGCCACTGTCTGGAGCTGCTTGCCAGAGTCACAAGAAAGAACAGAGACAACTCCAAACCAAGAACAAGGCTGAGCCAAACTGGCTAAGAAAAGGGGCCTGTAAAAGCTTGGCAGGATGAGGCATGCATTACTAATATGATACCTGGTGTCAAATTGGGGCTGGCGAGTGAATTATCTGCCAAACTATGGGAAAGAAGTGGAAGTTGGGGAAAGCAAAAACAAAGCAACAAAAACAATAAACCTGCATTCAAGATGATTTTGAAATTAAATTTTCAAAGCATATGAAATATCAGAGAATTAGATAATTTTGTCTCAAGAAAGCAGAAATGATAGAGCAATATGAAAAGGACTTTGAAATTATTAGTATATGTAACATGCTTCTTAAAAAAGAAAAGTAGCGTACACTTAAAAAAAGGTAAAGAAATTAGAATTGGTAGCTATAAATCAAGTTTAGAAGAGAAGAATATGAAAACAAATAAATTGTAAATCCTAGAAACAAAATATATAGTTTTGAGAATTAAAATCAGGCAATGATGAGGAATTTATTCAGAACTTAGCATAAACTAATGCAGAGATGGAAATTTCAAAGAGAAGACAGATGTCAAAAAGGATAACTTCAGGAGCTCCATCAAGCCCACAAAGTCACGATGGGAAATGCCTCACAAAAGCCACCAGAGCAGTGGCCCTGTTGAGATCACCACCAATAATTAGTTCTTCCCATGTGGGGTCCCTGCAGGAGGAAAAAAAAAAAAGTTACCCTCACATTATGGGAAGAGATATATAAAGATTCTCCACATCCAAGGTTCCTTAATGGCCAATAGCACTGTCATCCCAGACTAGTCAAGAGGCCTTGGTGGCCAAGTTGCACAACTTAAAGGCATATAATGGGGACAGAAGTGAGGTGAGTGAGGACAACCACTAACCAGCAGTGGCAAATAACTTAAGATTGCTTTTGGCCAGGGATGGAGAAAGGGCTCAAAGAAACTGTGATACAGGACCATTCTCCTTCAACCATATAAGCCCAGAAAGAATGGAGTGATAATGGGTAGCTGGTGGCAACATAAATACAACACCTTAGACACACAGTGCAATAACAGAAGAGGGATTTGGTTAGATGATCACTCTCACCAGAGAGACACTCAAAAGTTTATCATTCTGACAGCCCATGGAACTGGAACATTAACACATGCTTACCAAATTCCCTCAATCCACCATGAAAAAAAAACCACATAGAGGTGCAGCAAAAATTCTCATATCTATGATGGATTACTAGGACTCTTTATGCAATTCTATCTGTGCTTGCCCATTGAAAATAAAAATTCAATGGGTAAGCACAGATCTGGCAACACATCTCAAAACAGATGGGAGGAAAAGATTTCCAAGTACAGGACTGATTCATGCAATAGTCTCGTTCACTCATGAAATCATAGCTGACCAAAGTCTAGATCAGTGCTTTTCACACTTGAATGTGCACCTGGGGACCTTGTTAAAATGCAGATTCTGATTCAGTCGATCTGGGATGAAGCCCAGGATTCTTTATTTTCAATAAGCTTCCAGGTGATGCCAACACTGCTAGTCTTCAGACTAAATTATGATAGCTAGAATATCCAGGGCATGATGGTAAAGGTATCAAGTCTAGATCTCCTGCCATAAGCTGCCTGGGTTACCACTGTAGGCAACAAAGTACCACGAAGCTACGAGGAATCCAGCAGAATTCAGACAGTACCCTTGCCATCCCAAGTCAGCGACCGTAACCAGTTTGAAGTAGCACTGGAGTGTGTCAAAACTAGAAAACAACTCTTCAGGGAGCTCTGAAAAATAGGACCCATGTCACATCATGGCTAACACTGTAGCTGGCCACTAAGGTTGGCCTGAATTTTCCCCCGGCCAAGAAAATCCCAAGCATTACCTGAGTACAAGCTTCCATCCAAGATTTTAATAAAATGATAAGCAATATTAAGAACTCAATACTACAAAGAGAATGGGAAGGGACATAGTAGCAGAGGAGGTTTCAACAAATTATGAAAAAAAATGGAAGAGAAGAAAAGAAGCCAACTGCTTAGCACAACTCCAGGAACAGAATTAGGACCTTAATTACTCAACACTCAAGTGGAACCTGACAGTGAATAAGCCCAGCCACAAACACCCTGTTCCCAATTAGATTTCCTATTCATGGAGAAAGACAAGAGAATTAGAGGACTGGAGGAAAAAGACCTGACAAGTAAAACAAAACTGACCTCCTAATAAACAGAAATTATTAAAGGAACAAATAATTTAAAAACAAAAACAATTATCTTTAGAGAGACCCAAGTTTTGTATCCATAAAACAGTATGTATAAAAAAGCAATAAAAAATACTCTTGGAAATTAAACATAATTAAAAAAAAATCCATAGACAGTTTAAAAATCAGATCTCTCAAAACTTATGGAAAAAATTAAAGACGGGAAACCTGAGAAAAAACAATAGGAGAAAATTAACAGGAGGTCTTAATAACAATAGGGAGGTTCATAAAAAATAGAAATTATCGAAGTGATAATGGATGGAAGTATATAACCTGGGGCTGAGAAAGAAATGACCCTTCAGATTCAAAAGATCCACATCAAATGCTCAGCACAATAAACAAATAATAAAAGACACACACTTAGACACATCCTTGTAAGGATAAAGGACAGATCCTAAGAACTTTCAAATAGAAGAAAACATATCATCTAGAAAAAAAGAAATGGGCGCTTTGGGGGGCCGAGGCGGGTGGATCATGAGGTCAGGAGTTCAAGACCAGCCTGTTCAACATGGTGAAACCCCATCTCTATTAAAAATACAAAAATTAGTCGGATGTGGTGGTGCGCACCTGCAATCCCAGCTACTCAGGAGGCTGAGGTAGGAGAATCACTTGAACCCGGGGGGCAGAGGTTTCAGTGAGCCGAGATTGCACCACTGCACTTCAGCCTGGGTGACAGAGCAAGAGACTGTCTCAGAAAAAAAAAAAAAAGAAAAAAAAGAAGTGGAATGTATTGTTTCCCATTAGCAAAAATGGATAGTAAAAAAATACTCAAGACCTCAAAAATTAATTTCAATCTAAAAGTCTATGTCTGCCAGACTATCAACAAGCGAAAGTGCAAGATGAAATCATTCTCAGGCATGAAAATTTGGACTTATTTTTTACATTTGTTTGTTTTGAGACACGGTCTCTTTCTGGCCGAGGCTGGAGTGCAGTGGCATGATCATAGCTCACTGTAACCTTTAACTTTTGGGCTCAAGGGATCCTCCCACCTCAGCCTCCCAAGTAGCTGGGACTACAGGCACGTACTACCATGCTTGACTAGTTTGTTTTTTTTTTTTGAGACGGAGTCTTGCTCTGTTGCCCAGGCTGGAGTGCAGTGGCAAGATCTGGGCTCAATGCAACCTCTGCCTCCTGGGTTCAAAAGCAATTCTCCTGCCTCAGCCTCCCAAGTAGCTGGGATTACAGGCACCTGCCACCATACCCGGCTAATTTCTGTATTTTTAGTAGAGATGGGGTTTTGCCATGTTGGCCAGGCTGCTCTCAAACTCCTGATCTCAGATGATCCACCCGCCTTGGCTTCCCAAAGTGCTGGGATTACAGGTGTGAGCCACCACACCGGGCCAATTTTTGCATTTTTATTTTTAGAGACAGGGTCTTACTATGTTGCCCAGGCTGGTCTTGAGCTTCTGGCCCCAAGTGCCTCAGCCTCCCAAAGTGTTGAGACAGGTGTGACCCACCACGCCCAGCCACAGACATGAAAAATTACCTCTCATGTCCCCTCTTTCTGTGGAAGTTACTTAAAGATATGCCTCAGAAAAATGAGCATGGGGCCAGATGCAGTGGCTCACGCCTGTAATCCTAGCACTTTGGGAGGCCGGGGTGGGCAGATCACTTGAGGTCAGGAGTTTGAGACCAGCCCGGCCAACATGGTAAGACCCCATCTCTATTAAAAATACAAAAATTAGCCGGGTGTTGTGGCTGTAGTCCCAGCTACTCAGGAGGCTGAGGCAGGAGAATCATTTGAACCTCGGAAGCAGAAGTTGCAGTGTGCAAAAACTGCGCTACTGCACTTCAGCCTGGGTGATAAAGCGAGACTCCATCTCAAAAAGAAAAAAAAGAAAAATGAGTATAAGTGCCAAGAAAGAGGAAGGCATGACATACCAGTAATAATGCAACCAACCATCATTCCTATAAAAAGATATCTGAAGATGAGAGTTGTGCAGAAGGCCTAAGATATGATCCAAATAAGAAATAAGTGGGGTCTAAGAACAATGACTTCAAAAAGACGTAATGAACTGGATTACCAACTACAGTTAGGATGACTAAGAGTTGGATTTTATTGCTAACATGATGAAGAAAACTTTTTCATTAAAAAAAAACTTTTGAAAATCCCAGAAAAAGCGAAAAACTACATAAGATAGTCCATTTATTAAGCAAAGAAAAACATGATAAATTTTGAGCAACTGATGGGAGTACAAGAACAGAGATTCCATTTAATCAGGGCTCTAGGAATATTCTCATTTGCATGGCATAAGAGATACAACAATGGATCTTTAGAGGTAAAATGTAATCCCACTACAATACTGGGCTTTTAACGAAGATTGTTTTATAGTCCATACAAGTTTTCAACTTTTAGAATCAATCTTCAGACAAAAGATAGAAGACTTAAAAAATGGCTACATAAGAAATTATGAGGCTGGGCGTGGTGGCTCACGCCTATAATCCCAGCACTTTGGGAGGCTGAGGCAGGCAGATCACCTGAGGTCAGAGGATCGAGACCAGCCTGGGCAACATAGTGAAATGATGTCTCCACTAAAAATACAAAAATTAGCTGGGTGTGGTGGCATACCCCTGTAATTCTAGCTACTAGGGAGGCTGAGGCATGAGAATCACTTGAACCCAGGAGATGGAGGCTGTAGTGGGCTGAGATCCCACCACTGCACTCCAGCCTGGGTGACAGAGTGAGACTCTGTCTCAAAAAAAAAGAAAGAAGAAAAAAATTATATATATAATTAAGCTTGAAAATATAAAACTATTGCTGATATGACTGAAAGAGGAAGGAGTAAGAAGAAAAGTTTGAGTTAAGAACGTCATCCAGTATTAGGGAGTAAAAAAGTACTATCTAAACTGATAGATCAAGAAAAAGTTTTAAGTACATATTTGGAATGGGAAAGGTGGGGGAAAACAGTTTTTTTTTTTTTTTTTTTTGAGATGGAATCTCACTCTGTCACCCAGGCTGGAGTGCAGTGGTGCAATCTCGGCTCACTGCAACCTCTGCCTCCTGGATTCAAGTGATTATCCTGCCTTAGCCTCCCGAGTAGCTGGGATTACAGGCATGTGCCACCACACCTGGCTAATTTTTGTATTTTTAGTAGAGACAGGGTTTCACCATGTTGGCCAGGCTGGTCTTGAAGTCCTGACCTCACGTCATCTGCCTGCCCCGGACTTCCAAAGTGCTGGAATTACAGGCATGAGTCACCATGCCCAGCCAACTATTTTTCTTTTATAGTAGAAAGTAAACAGAAAAGATTCTAAATTGAACATAATTTTTTTGAAAATCAATGTAAGCAACAAACAGAAAAGATAAAAAGGGAAGCAGGGCTGGGGAAAGAGGTTTAACATAAGCTCTGTATTGACTGTTTTACCTTACACACATATTTGATTAAAATATTAAAAGACTAACCTCTTGCCACTGTAACTCCCCCAAAGGGAAATATGTGAACAGCTTCATGAGTAAATCAGAATTATCTGAGAATGTTTTTGCAGTATACCTGAGATTCTTCAGAGTGGTACTGAAAGGATTCCATATTGTTCATAACAGCAGTCCCCAGAACTGACATGAGAGCCATCTTGTGATCTGATACTCTGCTTTTCTGCCAAATAACTGCCTAGGGACAAAAATGATATAGATAACTTTTAATACAATTTAGATTTACTAAACTCAAGAAGTCAGTATTTTATTCCTATATTTTGCATTCATCCTCAGCTTAAAATTTCAGTATCACTTAGAAGAGATTCATGAGCTATGAGGTCTGACAGAAGAAACTCTGGTTCTGAATTTTAAAAGCTGTATATGTTGCAGTGTACCATCTATTTAACTTCCCTTTACCTTGGTTTTCTCCTCTTTACAAGATTTCTCAGAGTTGTTGGAAGATAAAAATCCATATGGAGACAAGCACATATGCCTGTGCCTGGCATAAAACAGTTTCACTAAATATCGATTCTCTCTCCACCTCCAATCCTCACATTCAAAACATAGACTTCCGTGTATATTTAAAAACAAATTGCTGCTTCAAGTAAGGTATTACTGTTTTACTGAGGATGATCAGCTATGTTACAGGATTTACATAAACAGTCAAACAGGTATAAAAATTTCGGAAAGAGCATTCTTAATTAAATCATAATTTAAAATTACCTTTGTACCTTTGAAATAGAGAATTCACAAAATGTTAACTGAATCTGTAAACATAAAAGCTGAATAATGAGGCTGGATTTTTTCACTGCGAGTATGTTGGAGATGAGAGAGAAACAATAGGTTGTTTGCAGTGACTCACACCTGTAATCCCAGCACTGTGGGAGGCTGAGGCAGGCGGATCACTTGAGGTCAGGAGTTCGAGACCAGCCTAGCCAATATGGTGAAACCCTGTCTCTACTAAAAATACAAAAATCAGCTGTGTGTGGTGGCATGCCCCTATAATCCCAGCTACTTGGGAGGCTGAGGCAGGAGAATCATTTGAACTGGGGAGGCGGAGGTTGCAGTGAGGCGAGAACACGCCACTGCACTCCAGCCTGGGTGACAGAGCGTGACTCTGTCTTAAAAAAAGAAAATAAGAAAAAAATATATATATACACACACACATATATGTGTGTGTGTATATATATATATATAAATACTTTGTATCTGCAAAATGTGAGCCCTTTTAAATTATCAGGCCCAGAGAGGCATTAAAATGATAGTAATTTCCCCCCTTGAGCTAAGTATTTATTGAAAACTGCTTGCTATTGCCACAAGTAGCCACTGACCTAACAATGCCACACACCAGACACCATAATCCATGCCCTATAGCTCAATGATGTATAGCTAATTACTAATCAAAATTCCTGACAAACAACTCTATCAACTCACTCTTTGTCTCCCTTTTTGCTTTTAAAAACCTGCTTGTAACAGAAGCCTAATGGAGCACTCCCCAAAGTAATTTGGAAGTGTGTCTGAGGCAGCTGTCCTCAACACTGGTTCAAATAAACTCTCAATATTAATTCTGCCTCAGCTTCTTCCTTTTAGGTCAACATGGGGTAGATTTTAAGACAATCATGGTCCAGAGAGACTAGACCAAGGTTTGGCTGTGAAGTACATAATCAGATTTGACATACTGCAATTTCTTCAGTTCAACAAGGTCCAATTACAGTCAAATCCCTTGAGAAATCATCAGTACAGGTAGAATTCAACAAATTCACTTAGCAATTCCTAAGTCTGGAGGAAACTGTCCAAAGGGCTTGGGAGAAAACATCAATATCAGCATTAAAGGGGCAGGCACAAGAAGAAAAGGAACCTATAAGGAGTGGTCACAGAGGCAGAAAGAGCAGCAGCAAAGTGTGGTACACAGAATAAGGACGTTTTTGAAGAAAGTAGTCATCATATGTTTCCAATGTTGAGTGAGTATGGTAGGAACAGACGTGGCTGGCTAAACGGCAATCAAGAGTGTGAGAACAGTTCTAGAGAAGTAAATGGAACCAATTTGGATAGTGACTATGGGGAGGATATAAAAAAAAGGACTTTTCTGAAACAAGTGTTTCAGAAAGTCTGGCTGGGAAATGCAAGCAGACAGGGAAATAACGAGGCAGGAATAGGACACATTTGACCAGGAAACTGAAGGGGAAGAATGGGTACACTAGCAAGCAGGTTTGGAGACTCAGTGGCTGGAGGCTGAGACAGCTCCCCTTTGTTCTAAAATGCAGAAAGGAGGTCTTTTGTTGAAAGCAAAATAACAGTGATTTAAATATTTGATGATTATGGAGGAGGTATAAAATTCTGCTTCCCATTCTACATGTGTGAAGTTGCATTGTTTAACCATTTGAAAACCAATGATGTCCAGCACACTCTTGGGAGAGTCTTGTTTTCCTACAGTCTAAAAGAGGCAGAAGTCTATAACAGAGAAAGAGAGAGGAGACTGGACCAAAGGATTCTGGCCAAAGGAACTCCTTAACCATAACCAGGAATCTATGTAGTCAGGAAGTAGTGGTAATGATATTACGTATAATAAGATGAAAGGTGAAGTAAACAGACTCATGTTCTCTAACTAGCACATCAGGAATAGAAATGAAGGAATGCACTCTCCTGGAAAAGGTGACAATAATCAATGACTCTGCTTGCTGATCTGTGCCATCTGCAAACCACTTTGTTTTTAGAGTCTCAAACAGCAACCTGCTTGGGAAAGCAGAGATAGTGTAACAACTACTCAGTAAGACAAATAACTCAACATTTAGTTTAACAGGAAGATCTTTTACCTATTCCTAGAGTTGTATTGATACCAATCAGATAAGAGCTGAAATTTATGAAAACCTTATTCTTTGTTAGGTACTACTGTTCTAGAAACTACTGTTTATTTTCACAATCATTTCAGGTAGGTATTATTATCTCATTTTACAGATGAGGAAACTGAAACTCAAAAGAAATTGTTACACCCAAAGAAACAAAAATAGTAGGTCATGGAACCAAGATCTATACTCAATCTTTTTGGCTCTAAACATTCACTCCTTTTACTTTGCCAATATTTATCCCCTGTCTAGTCAATGACAACAACAATTTAGAACCAACTCCAGACTCTAATTGGGAATTCTCAAAAAGTAAAGGGTCTGACTGACAAATGCATTTTTCATGTATGATTATCCCCCATGGCCTTGTGATACGCTGTGTAATCTCCAATTGAGGGTACCAGTGAAGACAAAACAAAATTATTTTTATCCTATTCAAATAAATAATCTGCTTTTAGGAGGGCAAGGAGTACACTGGGGTTCTCAACTCAAAAAAAGCACATTAGAATAGTAAAGTCCAAAAAGATTGAAAGCTACTATTCTAGCATCCTAAAGTCTGAATATTTTTGAGAATATAGTTCTTGGTAACAACCTTAATCATATTATGCAGATCCTTATACCTAAGGATTTATAAATTCTCAAAAATTTGCATTCATTTTCATACAGATATGCAATAATTAGTATCATAATGCACAGCAAAATAGCAGAGCTAAAAAATAATTCAGGTATTTCTCCATCCTAAATTTCAACTTTTCACTATTATTGCTTTCAAAGTGACCTGTATAAGAAAAAAGACATAAAGTATGTTAAATTAAGTTTAGCCTAAAGTTGCCTCCTTGTATATTTTACATTTGGCCTATAAGTTTCTCCATACATAGTGAAATGTAACCTAAATGGATGTGTCAACAGGCTGTAACCTACTCTTGTACCAATCACAAAGTTTCGGCCAATCACAGGCAGCCAGTTGTTCAAACTGTGTTCAAATAAGGCAAACACTAAGTTATAACCGATCCAGCTGTTTCTGCACCTCACTTTGGTTTTCTGTCCATCACTTTCATTTTTTTTTGTCCAGAAATAACATCTGACCATGCAGCAGCCCTGGACTTGCTCTGAAATTACTCTGGCTCTGGGGGCTGCCTGATTTGTAAACTGTTATTTGCTCAAATAAACACTGTTAAATTTAGTTTATCTAAAGTTTTTCTTTTAACAAGTATATGAAATCAAAGTATAAAAATAAATTGTATACAATTTTAAATATAAGGTATAGGTTCAATGTGTATATTGCATTTCTAAACAAAATTATGGTGTGTTTTGTTAATTACATTTCAAGGCCAATGAAGTAGACTATTTAAATTTGGAATTGCTCCAGGAAATGGGATGTAGAGTCACCATAAGCATATTTTAATCCCTTAATTTCGTCTCATACTATAACATATTTTGGTTAAATAAAAAATTTTAAAGTAACTAATTTTGAGTTTGTTCAACAAATACATATTGAGCATCAATTTTGTTCCAGATTCCATACTAAAATCTGGGAATATAAAGATAAAAGGACAAGGTCCCAGCTCTAAAGGAGCTAAAAATATAAAAAGAAAGCAAAATCTTAAAATAATTATAATACATTATAAAAACTACTATTACATAGCACAGTGGGAGCATCATAGAAGAAACCTAAGTCAGTTGCACAGAGAAGCCACAAGTACAATCAGACTTGACAGGAGTTTGTCTCTAAGACAAATCACAAGAAGTGCATTCCTGACAAATAGGATAGTACATGCCAAATCATGAACATATAGAGAGAATGCCTTGCTAGAGATGAAACTAGACAGATAGGGGCTAAATCACGAATGACCTGGCACATCGTGCAAAGGGGTTTATAGTTTCCCTTACGTGCAATGTAGAGTCACTGGATAAATCTAATTGGGAAAATACCATGATCAGAGATAGATATTAGAAAAAGATCTTTGGCAAGAATGACTTAGTGAGAACTGAAACTATAGCAATATGATTTTTATAAAATGTGATCATAGGCCAGGTGTGGTGGCTCGTGCCTGTAATCCCAGCACTTTGGGAGGCCAAGGCGGGTGGATCACTTGAGGTCAGGAGTTCAAGACCAGCTGGCCAGCATGGTGAAACCCCATCTCTACTAAAAACAAAAAAATTATCCAGGCATGGTGGCGGGCACCCATAATCCTAGCTACTTGGGAGGCTAAGGCATGAGAATCACTTGAACCCAGGAGATGGAGGTTGCAGTGAGCTGAGATCGCGCTACTGCACTCCAATGTGGGCAACAGAGAGAGAGACTCTGTCTCAAAAAAAGAAAAAAAAAAGTGATTGTATTCCTCCAACTCAGAGACTCTCAGCTTTTACGAAAGACATGCAAAACTGAAAGTTCACATTCAAAAAATATTCCGATAGGTGACCTGAGGACTATGTGTAATTAATTCCTAATATACTAGCTATCATGCTACAGCTTTCTCTTCCTCTTGCAAAAGTTCGGTGGAATGCAAGTCAGTGAAACTGATGTTGACAGGATTATTCCCTTAGGTTTTTTTCGTTTGCTTTTTAAGATAAACCATTTGCAAACTTTGGTACTTTACTAGTATTAATATACTGCGGCTGAGAATTACTGGGCTGTGTTAACAGAACCAACACTCTGGTAGGAGGAAAAGAGAAAACGGACAGACTAAAGGGTACGAAATGGGCTTGATGACTGACTCCATGTGGAGAGGGAATAAAAAGAGAAGAATCAAGAATGCCTCCCAGATTTCTGACCTGGGAAACTGGAATGGTGGTAGTAACACTCAACAAGATAAGAAACTCAGAAGAGCAGGATTGGTGGCAGGAAGATGATGAGTTCAGCTTGTTCAGTGTTGAGTGTTGAGTCTCTGGTACCAAGAACAGTACCAGACACCTAGTAAGGCCCACTAAATACTAAATACTTTCGTTAAAGGAATGAGCAAATAAACACATTTTTTTTTCCCTAGGGAAAAGTAACCCCAGTAGAGTTGAAAACTAGCTCTTTGTTTTCAGAGATAAGGCTGCTAGTTGTCACACCACCATACCTGTTAAAATTACACTTTTTGTCTACTACTTGACCTAAGGAAATCCAAACCAATCTTTGCTTTTCTTTCCTCTTAACATAACAGTTTAAGGTATAATTCATATACTCTACAATTCACCCACTTTAGATTTATAATTCAATGGTTTTTATTATTCACAGAGCTGTGCAACCAACAGCATGATTTAATCTTTGAACAATTTTATCAGTCCAAAAAGAAAACCTATATCCATCATCAGTGACTCCTATCCCTTTTCAATCACTAATCTATCTTCTCTCTATATAAAATTTGCCCACTTAGGATGTTTCATATAAATGGAATCATACAATATATGGTCTTTGATTGGATTCTTTCACTTAGCATAACCTTTTCAAGTTTATTTATATCAGTACTTCATTCCTTTTAAATGGCTGAATAATATTCCATTGTAGATAATACATTTGAATTATCCTTTTATGAGTTAATGAGCATTTGAGTTGTTTCTACTTTTTGGCTATTATAACTGATGCTGCCATAAACATGCATGTTCATGTTTTTATGTTGGCATATGTTTTCATTTCTCTTGGGTATAGATCTATGAGTGGAACTGCTGGGCCACATGGTAGCTCCATGTTTTTTGAAGAACTGCCAGACTGTAATCTTTGCGTGCACATGCACTCTGGAAAGGCAAACTACTGGCTTCTGCTATTATGGCTCTAGTTTTAAGCCAGCCAACAGCTAATAATTTAAGGAACAATGTTCAAAATTAAAGGAAGTAAATAAGGTTCTGAATAATCTGCAATTACAGGAAATGAAATGTCCCCTGCTTCATACTTTCCACATCAGAAGTTCCTTATGACAAAGAATAGCTGAACCATAAAAACTTATTCACAAGGCTAAGGTGGGAGGATCACTTGAGGTCCGGAGTTCAATACCAGACTGGGCAACATAGTGTGACCCTGTTTCTATAAAAAAAAAATAAAAAATTAGCTGGGCATGGTGGCACATGCCTGTAGTCCCAGCTACTCAGGAGGCTGAGGTGGGAGTGGCTCACCCTGCACTCCAGCTTGGGTGACAGAGCAAGACCCCCTCCCTAAAAAGAAAAAAAAAAAAACACCAAACTTATTCACAAAAAGTGTACCTCTTTAAAGGAATGCTAACTCTCTGATATTGACATTTTTAAAATAAAGCATTCAAGGAAATATTTCAAAAAACTAATGTTTTAAAATTCCTGCACTGAATATAGCTAAAAAGCCTGCAGTGTTACTAATGTAAACATCATCTTGTTTATTTTAGTTTATATTAGATGCCTTAGATACAGATATAAATCTTAGCTGCTGATTAATGCAAGGATGCTATTTCACTGCCTGACCTGCTGAATAGTTAGTATACACAACCGTAAAAAGATCACTTCAGGAAATCGGTCCTAGAAAAAGCTGTGAAACATGAGAACTATGCAATGTGATTTCACTTTAAAGTAAACATGCTAGGAGTCTGGGAGCATTATTTCACACTAGGCAATTTTTATTGCATCAGATCGAGGGGCTAATTTAAGAGCATTTTCTAAACTAGTTACACTTGGGCTAGCAATAAATAATAGCGGTCTGCCAACAAGTAAAATCTTCTCATTGGGCAACTAAGATTCATTTTCAAAACAGGACCCATCACTAAAAAACTAAACTATAAAATGTGATGAATAAGAACTGGGAATACTGGGAATCCAGAATACAGTATTCAGTTTGCTTTCTCTACCGTTTCATCAATTCTATGTTATTTTCAAAAACAGAGATTTTCTTTTCACTTCCTGAAGGTTTTTGTAAATCTTGCCCTTAGGCCGAAAGCTTAACATGTGCTAAAAATACACACAAACCTCCATATGTTTTCTATCTAGGTCACACAAAGTTGGAGCACCTGGATGTGCCAACTAAGAATCTGACTCTAGTCAGTATGATGACAGTGCAAAAACACCTCAAAAATATATTATTACATGCACACCATCTTAGGTTTGAAGTTAGCCAAATATATCTTGCCCCTAATTCCTACCTCACTGACATACGCTACTTGAAGAAAATGAAGTTAGATGAGAATACTCGATATTTAATTAGTAAACCTCAATTGTTTGTAAAGGCAATTTGTGATAAAGAGAAATGTAGGCTGCACACAGATGATGCATAGTTAAGTGAATAGTACAATGCTAAAACTGCTTGAGCAAAGTCAACTCCTTCTAAATAAAGAGGATATATTATTGGCCTAGACTGCAGCCAAAATTCTTGCAAATTGTAGGCACAGATGTACTAAGCTCATATTTGGATTTTTTTTTTTCCACCAAACAAGAAGCAGCACCAATGAATTTTTTTTTTTTTTTTTTTTTTGAGACAGGCTAGAGTACAGTGGTGTGATCATAGTTGACAGCAGCCTCAGCCTCCTGGACTCAAGGATTCTCCTGCCTCAGCCTCCCGATTAGCTGGGACTACAGGTGCACACTACCACGCCCAGCTAATTTTTTTGTACGTTTTGAAGAGAAAGGGTTTCACCATGTTGCTTAGGCTGGTCTTGAACTCCTGGACTCAAGCGATCCTCCCACCTTGGGCTCCCAAAGTGCTGGGATTACAGGTGTGAGCCACCATACCCAGGCAAATTTCTTAAGTACCATAAGTTTACTTCTAAGATCTTACAAGTTACTATAAATAGATCTATATCTATTATTATTTACTCCTGCGTATGTACTTGCACTGACTCTGACTCCAAAAAGTACAGAGGCACAAACACAATATTTAAAAGGTTGTTTTATTTCCCACATTGGCAACACAGGAACAATATGAGCCACAGCAGCTTACCACTAAGACACTGCTAAATGTTTTGAATTCAGTATAAAATTATAGATTATTCCATCACAGTATCAATACTACTGTTAAAAGAACAAACCACATTCTACTGACATAATAAACATTAATATGAATTGATTATTGCTAAGCAGCCTCAAACTTTCAAAAATGATTGTCTTGGTAAAATTTATGCAGTATAAATGAGTTCTAAAATCTCTTACACTTATTTAATTTTATATTCTTTTCTTGAAAGAGAACATGCATAATTATTTTTCCTGAAGGTTGCAAAGAAATTAATAGACATTTTACCTAAAGAAGGGGCAGTTTATAGGAGCTAGGCAGATGAAAGATAAAGAAAAGAATAATTTTTTCATTCTACCTTTTCATACATTTTTGGGTTTTCAACCATGTAAAGGTATGATCTTTTAAAAAATTAAATAATAAGCTGGGCATGTTGGTTCAGGCCTGTAATCCCAGCACTTTGGGAGGCTGAGGCAGGAGTTCAAGACCAGCCTGGGCAACACAGTGAGACCCTGTCTCTACAAAAAATTAAAAAATTAGCCAGTTATGGTGGCATGCACCTGTGTTCCTTGCTACTCAGAAGGCTGAGGTAGGAGGATCACTTGAGCCCACGAGTTTGAGGCTGAAGTGAGCTATGATCATGCCTCTGCACTCAAGCCTGGGCAACAGAGTGAGACCCTGTCTCTAAAAATAAAATGAAATAGAATAAAACATTAATAAAAATGTAAAGGTATAAAGTTAATCTCTGCATAACTTTCAAAGGGATATTGTTGAGACTCATTTCTTTGCAGTCTTTAAAAACAAGAAAGATTATTTCCAATTCGTAATCAAATCTTATTTACATCGGAAATATTTTTCTTGCCTAGACCCTCTTCTCCATTCCTTGTGTAACTTGCCAGACAACGAGATCATTTTCCACATTCTTAACAACAATTAAACATAATTTAGTCCATCCTCCAACTGCAATGAGAATTATCTTATTTTGTTAGTCTCCTACTGAAATGTCTCATTTAGTTCCCTCTTGGTCACTTCAACAAGAAGTACACATTCCCATGTAAGATACACAAGGTCCTTCAGAATCTGGCTCCAAGCAAGCTTCGTAGCCTCATCTCATTTCTTAGACAAGCTTTCTCTGACCTCTGATGACTCCCTGACATTGCACATGCTGTTCTCCCTGCTTTGAATACCTCTGCCCACATAGTCTTTCCGAAGAACCAGTCTTAAGGCCACTTCCTCTAATAATCCTTTTTGACTCTAATCAGATTTTAAACAATATTCACATCAATAACAATAGCAATTAACCTCTACTGAGTACTTATGGAGCAGGCGCTGTGCTGTGAATGCTCTCATTTAAAAACCTTACTCTGTAAGGTAGGTACTATTATTCCATTTTAAAGAGACAAAGAAATTGAAGCCTAGACACGTAATGTAAGCCAGTTAGTGACAATATGTAAGGTCAGAACTGGAAACTATGCTCCAGAGTCTATTTTATTGATATGTAGTTAAGTAAGTTCTTCCTAAGGATGAAAGGAAGATTGTGGTGGTCTCTGAAAGTTCTATAATTTTTTCCTCAAAAGTAAAAATCTTGAAGATCTAAAGCACTTCCTATAACAAATAAAGGAAAAAAGATTAATTAAGAATTATTCTCATCCATCAAGACAAGTCTCCCACATAGTGCTGCTACAGGTATGGTTTCTTCCAGCAGGGAAGTAGGGGGGGTTCAGGTTTTTAAAAATAATCATATCATTATAACATTTAAAGTTTATAAGCAAAGCCTAATGAAAAAGTATCAGTTGGTATATATGAAATATTTAATTACCCAAATGAAAATGAATTTACTTCTTTTTTGTTTTTGAGACAGTCTCACTCTGTCACCAGGCTGGAGTGCAATGGCGTGATCTCAGCTCACTGCAATCTCTGCCTCCCAGGTTTAAGTAATTCTCCTGCCTCAGCCTCCTGAGTAGCTGGGACTACAGGCGCGTGCCACCATGCCCAGTTAATTTTTGTATTTTTAGTAGAGACGGGGTTTCACCATGTTGGCCAGGATGGTCTCTTGACCTCATGATCCACCTGCCTCGGCCTCACAAAGTGCTGGGATTACAGGTGTGAGCCACTGCACCCGGCCATAAATTTACTTCTTATATTAACTATATTTAAATAACTAATGGAAAGCAAATTTTGTTTCTTATACTAGCCAGCTCAAGCTTTAACTTAAATATAGGTCACTGCAACTACGAGAAAAGGTCAACACTATTCTATGAGAAGCAAATCAACAGTAAGTTTACTCAAATTTCACACAGAAAAGGAAGAAGAAAAAGAAGTTAATGTGTGTTTTTAGACATTGGGGATGAATTTTAAAAACGTACCTTTTAGAACTCTCTTGGCCCACTTACCACATTAAAATGTGTAACATTCTGTTTTCAAGAACAAAGCTGGCAGAGGGAGATGGTTGGTCTTGACACTAGTAATAATATTCAGGAGCTGTTCAATACAGTAGTATCCATTTTGTATTTTATTATTTAAAATACATAATAAAATGATTTAGGAATAGGAGACTACTATTTAAGTAACAAATATTTCAATAACTGGCCTTCTAAAGTTCACTACCTACCTTTCAAACAGCACTAAAGTTAGGTAAATACGACAATATTTGAAGCTCTCTTCTCTGCCTCTATATTATCTGTACTTCTTAATACTGTTTAAAGAAAACGTGACCAGGTGTGGTGGCTCACACGGTCAGGAGATCAAGACCATCCTGGTTAATACAGTGAAACCCGGTCTCTACTAAAAATACAAAAAATTAGCTGGGCATGGTGGCACGCGCCTGTAGTCCCAGCTACCCGGGAGGCTGAGGCAGGAGAATCGCTTGAACCCAGGAGGCGGAGGTTGCAATAAGCCGAGATTGTGCCACTGCATTCCAGCCTGGGCGACAGAGTGAGACTCCATCTCAATAAAAAAAAAAGAAAACCCTTCTGGTCAGCCTTGCTGATAAGTTCTTCAGTCTTTGAACCCTGAGGCAATTGCTCATTTCTAACATATTTGACTTTACAGAAAAGGTTACTCACAAATCAAGCTGCTATTGCTTTGTAACAACATAGCAGTATTTGATTTCAGCCTTTACTATTTTCATTTAATAGAACACCCTATAGATTACATTGTTTTTCATTCAAAATGAAGCCATCCCAATCATCTCTTCTGCATTACAACTCCATCCTCTACATGATTCTTAAGTTATTCTCCTTCAAATTAAGACCAAACACACAGACACTGAGCTTATAACACTCCCATCAGCTAGCTCCCTGGTACCTAACCAATGTTATTTCCCTTCCCATACAACCTATTTTGTTCAGGCAAACATCTCAACAATATGGTTCTTTATTCTACTTCTGGGCCTTTTTTCAAAACAAGCAACAAGTTTTAAGGGTAACAAATAACATCCACTGGGAGGCCGAGGCGGGAGGATCATTTGCGGTCAGGAGTTTGAGACCAGCCTGGCCAACATGGTGAAACCCCATCTCTACTAAAAATACTAAAAATAACCAGAAATTGCTTGAACCTGGGAGGCGGAGGGTGCAGTGAGTTGAGATCATGCCACTGCACTCCACCCTGGGCAACAGAGCAAGATTCTGTCTTAAAAAAAAAATTTTTAAATTTTAAAAAATAAATACTATCCAGCCTAGAGCTGATTAGCTTTTCTCTCTGAATTGACTAACAACTCTCTACTGGTGCAGTAATGATTTCACTTTAAAAGTTTTGTTTCTATAAGCTTCTTTTAGGAGTAAAATCAAAATTATGTCAGTGTAATTCATGAAGGTAATACATTATAGGAGAAACTCAAATGTGTGCATTCAGGGTTTAAAAAAGGATGCAGTATTATTTCCTTAGGCATATAAGTTAAATAAATCAGTTATCTTCAAACCTTTTCTGGTCCTTTGCCACTCACAGCTAGTCCCATTGATTCTTCCTCATAATAGCTATAAAAGAAAATAGACACTTTGTGCTTTTCACACCTAATGTGTTTGTCTGAATTCAGGCCCTTAAAGCCTACAATTTATAGCAGCTTCCTAAATGTTTATGGTCTCCCTAGCTCCTCCCTGTAGAGTACTGCCAAACTGACTTTCAAAGGTAGCAGCATCTTGATCATGTCAATTCCCTACTTAAAAACTTTTAATGCCTTCCAATTTTCTCATTTAAAAAGTTTAAATTGCTGGATTTATCTTCCTCTATTCTCTCATATTAAATACCAACTCATTTAAAGAAACTTCTTCACTGCCTCTAAATGTGCTCTCCTGCCTATGTATTTTATGTTTAAACTATTTCTCTATCTCTACTTAGAATAATCTTGACCATTTTATCCACATAACCAAATTCTGCTGTAACAAAATTTTCCTATAACCCAACCACCTGGGGGTCCTAGATGAAAATCACGTTCAGAGTTGTTCCTACTCCACTGAATGAATACCACCCACCTACCAAGTGGCCAGGCTCACCCCTCCCTTTTTGGTGACTTTCTAGAAGTCTCCCAACCAATAGAAGTGGGAAGTGTCTAGAGTATGAGAGCTAATACTTGCTGTTTTGCTATCTCTCTGTCCAGTTGTTACCTTTAATCTACACTGATACCATCTGCTTCTGGATCTCAGGTGCTTTAAGGCCTACGCTTACAGTCCAGCTGGGCTGGTGCCACCAGCATAATGGAGTGCTCCTGTTCTCAGCCCTTGATCCTGTTGTCAGCCCTCATTCATTTGACATGTTTTTTGAGCACCCACTTGAGGCACTACTGTAAGCACTAGGGATATGACAGTGAAAAAAGAGCCAAAGTCCTTCCCTTCAAGGAAATTATATTCTAGAGGAGGAGAGAGAATAAATCAAGACAAATAAAATATATAGCATATTGGATACTGATAAGTTCAAGAAAAATAAAGCAGGAAAGTGGGGAAGCGGGGGGACAGGGGAAATGGTTGCAATTTTAGGAAGGCTAAAGAAAGCCTCACGGAGAAAGTTTAAGTGAAGACCTAAAAGTTGAGGATTGAACCAGTTACTTGAGGGAAAATGTTCTAGGCAAAGAAACTACAAATGCGACAGTCCTGAGCTGGAAGCATGACTCGCAGGTTCCAGAAACAACTGAAGCAAAATGAGCAAAAGGAAAAAGATTAATGAAATCAGAGGTAAAGGAGGCATCAGATCTACGGAGGTCAGCAAACTACAGCCCATGGCCTTCCTGTTTTTGTAAATAAAGTATTATTGTTTATGGCTACATTCACACTACAACAACAGGGCTGAACAGCTGTAAGAGAAACTATACGGCCCTAAAAACCTAACATATTTACCATCTGACTCTATACAGAAAAAAATATACTGACCCCAATAGAGAATTCACAGTCCGCTTATAAAGGCTTTGATTTTACTCTGAATGAGATGGGAACTAATTAAACATGAGTTATATGATCTGACACATTTTTACAGAATCACTGAGCTGAAAATACACTGAAGAGGATAAGAAGTAAGCAGGGAGAGTCCATTAGGATACTATTACAAAAATCCAGGTGACAGATAATGGTGGCTTGGACCACAGTGGTAGTCACAGACATGGTGAAAAGTCGTTAGATTCTGGATATATTTTAAAGATAGACCTACGGAATTTACTCTGGAATCAGATTAGAGTGTGAGAGAATCAGTAGCGAAGAATAACCCTAAGGCTTCTGGTTTGCTGACTGGAAAAACAGGAGTATGACTGTCTGGCAGCATGAAGATTAATGCTCATGAATTTACAGAGGCACTATTCAGCATGGGTGTGGGTTTTCTTCCCCTACATACTGGCTCAGATACCAAAATGATGACCAGATGGATTTAATCAGGATTTAGTCAAACAAGTACAATTAAGTGAGAAAGGACCAAGAGAACTGACAGAGTGCCCAAGAGAAGGATGATAATGATGGACCACAAAATTTAAGCAGGGTAAGGAGAGAACCAAGGACACCAGGGGGCAAGAAACAGTTAAAAAGCAGTAGGAACAAGGGATCACAGGTCCAACAGAGTCTAAGGATTGTTGAAGAGAGTAAGATAGAGAGGCATCAGGTAGTGATTAGAGAAGGAACACATTAACAGTGAAATTATGGAGTGAGTGTGGTTTTGGGCAATGACAAGGTCTACGGTATATTTATGTTATGTTTACACACTTTCACATCTTATCTCCTCATTTACATCGTAACTTTCTTCAGAGTGCAAGCCATCACTTAACCCTTCCAAAGCACCTACTCAGTACTCTGAGTATAGTTGGTGGGAGGAAGCTACAGTAAGGGAGGATGAATGATGCATTAAAAATTAAGATATGTGAACTGTAGTTCATCCTCTACTATATTCAATGTTTAAGTCATTGGGCAATCCACTAAAACTCTTGGGGTCACATAAAGGTAAAAGGGGAGGTGGACAGGATTAAAAACACTATTTGCTAAAAGATTTGAGGCAGGACAAAAAACATTTTCAGTGGTCTTTTCAGATGTAAAGATCTAAGGATCCTTCTACGTCCTCTTTTTTTTTTTTTTTTTCAGAGACACACTTTGAGCTGCTTTCTCACAGTGAATTAAACTGTTTACCAATCAGTGAACTCTGTCATCAAATGTTTAGAACATGCTTTCTAACTATGGTTTTGACCATTGCGACTTATGGCAGAGTTTATATACAAAGGTTGAAAAGCTAAGTTTGGGCATGTTTCTTCAGAGATGCATTGTGAGCTTATTTATTACAGTGAACTTAATGTTTACCAGTAAACCCTATAATCTAGTTTTTTCATCTAGAGCATGATTTTTAACTATTTTAATTTTACCACTGTGACACTGTGAAGAGTTTACATATACAGGTTGAAAAGCTAAATCTGAGAATGTTTCTTCAGAGATACATTGTGAGAGATGCTTTATTACAGTGAAGTATTTACCAGTGAACTCTGCAATTGAGTGTTTAAAGCATTTGATTTTAAATTTATAATTGACACACAATAATTACACATTTATGAGGTACAATGTGATGTTTTAATGCATGTATACATAATACAATGATCAAATCGGGGCAATTACCCTATCATTTCAAACATTTCTCATTTCTTTGTGATGACAACATTCAAAAGCTCTTCTAGATATCTTGAAATACACAATACACTGTTATTTGCTATAGTGTCCCTACGGTGTGACAGAATATAAGAACTTATTCTTCCTGGGCCGGGCGCAGTGGCTCACGCCTGTAATCCCAGCACTTTGGGAGGCCAAGGTGGGCAGATCACGAGGTCAGGAGATCGAGACCATCCTGGCTAATATGGTGAAACCCCGTCTCTACTAAAAAAAACAAAAAATTAGCCGGGCGTGGTGGTAGGTGCCTGCAGTCCCAGCTATTCGGGAGGCTGAGGCAGGAGAATGGCGTGAACCCGGGAGGCGGAGCTTGCAGTGAGCCGAGATCACACCACTGCACTCCAGCCTGGGTGACAGAGCAAGACTCTGTCTCAAACAAACAAACAAACAAACAAACAAAACCTTATTTTTCCTAACCATAACTTTATCCCCATGGACCAACCCCTCCAGTTTTCCTCCTTCTCCCTCCCCTCCCCAGCTTCTGGTAACAACTATTCTGCTCTCTATTTCTATGAAATCAACTTTCTTAGATTCCACATATAAGTGAGATCATGTGGTATTTGTCTCTCTGTGCCTGGCTCACTTCACTTAACATAATGTCCTCCGAGATCATCCATATTGCTGCAAACGACAGGATTTCAGTCTGTTTTATGGCTAAATGGCATTCTGTTGTATATACAGTGGATACACATGATATTTTCTTTATCCATTCATCATTTGATGGGCATTTAGGTTGAAAATCAGTATGTCAAAGAGATCTGCATAACCATGTTTATTGCAGAACTTTCTACCTTTTATTATTTTATGATTTCATATATGAACTCAGTAGAACTTCTAAGTAAAAATGTGAAATTCCAATTTTCTAAGAAAGAAATGAAGTGCTCAAGATATACATATGTAAACATCCTTAAAAATCAAAGAGTTTTAGAGTTAAAAAGGGCCTTAGAGATCATGTCATTGACTTTCATTGGCCTAATCTCAAAAAGCTACATTTGTACAGGATTCTCTGGGTATTATTGTTTGGAAGAGAAATCTACAGTGTTGGAATAGAGAAATGTGTGTTTGGGTTAATAATAAGTATATAAAATGTATGTGGTTAGAGGATCAGTAAAGGAACAATTATGTTGTTCTATTTGACTGTTAATAGCAACAAAATACATTAAATTGACAGCTCTTAGAGACTGTCCATCAAGTGTTTCCCCTCAACTGCCCCATCCATGCAGTCTTTATATGATTCTTTATTAGTTCTAAAGAAGATGTATCAGTGACTTAGCTTCCAGGAAGGGCAATGGACTAGAATTGTATATGTGAATACAAGTGAAAATATACTCCCTAAATACATAAGAGGTCACCAAGGAATTCAAAAGAATGAATTTTATTAATAAATATTATGAATAAGGTCTGAGAGAGGCCAGAGTGTTTAAAACTAGTGTTTCATACACTTACTATTTTGGCTTTAACACTACCTAATTAATTTAATATTCCATCCTGTACTATGCACTCACTATTAAGGGGAATATAGATGAACTAGATGCAGCCCTCCCTCCTATAAAAGGCTGTCAAATAGGAAAGAAAGAATGCAAATCACTGCCACTGAAGCAAAATGACATAACAGAAATACGTGGAAAACAAAATGAGAGCAGTTGAGGAATAATGTCCTACTGAGGGATAATGGAAGACTTCAGAGACTCCTAATAGTGCTTACAAACATAAAACTACACTAAAACTTGACTTATATGTCTTTCATCTTTTCTATATTTCACAAAATTTAGGTGAAAAGTAATCCTTAACAAAAGAGGAACACATGAAAACCATTTAATAAATTTAGTAATCATTAATTTGTAAGTAGCAAAAAAAAAAAAAAGACCCCAAACCAAACCATATTGATAATCAGCCCCAAGCTAATCTTAAAATATATCTGAAAAGATGTCCGCCTTCTTTAATTAAAAAAGAAACAAAAACAAAACACACCCAAACTTTCCAGATTGGCACTGGAATAATTCATTCCTAAGGAAGGGGCATTTGAGCCACACTCCTGAATTAGAACCTCTCTCTGATTATACTGACTCCACATTCCTGGCTGGGATTGCGGGAGGGGAACTGACCCTTAACATTGGTCCAAATGCGGCAAAAGACTTTTCTTTGATTCCCCATAGCACAGGCGAAACAAACCTGGGACATTCAAGATGATCACGTAAAAGGTTAGAGAAGGATAAAATGACCATGGAGAATATCATGAGTGCAGGGGATATATATTATAGGGCATCACTTATTTATCTTCATCTTATAAACCAAATCTTCAGCCACCACTCACTGCCAAATCTCCACGGCCAGTTTTTTGGGTCTCTGTTCCTGGTTAAGGGCCTGCATCTTCCCAGATTAACTGAATTCAGAGATATTCAACACTTCGGAGCTGACATCATTCTTACAGAGCACAAAACATACAAAGAAACAACAACAACAACAAAAACAAAGACAACACTGAAAACCAACATCTCAATAAGCCTTAATGCTCATGTGATATAGAAGTGGGAATAGGAAGGAAAACATTCTTTAATTCATGTCTCTCTTTCGTAACAGTTAAAACCTTCTTTTATCAATGACATCCAATTCAGCTTTTGCAATACCAGTGGGCCTCTAATTATCAAAACAAAATTCAATCAAAACAATTCTTAAAACCACAAATAATATTTTTGGAAAAGCAAGTACACACACAAATCAGCAATTATAATGTATATAGGAGTAGCCCTTATTTGAAATCATACATTTCACATTATGTTCTGAACTAGTGGTCTAGGAAATTATGCATTGTCATATGAAATAGCTAAGAATACTAAAGTGGTTTCAGATACTATAATATTGAGAAAAAACTGTTAATTCTGCAAAATAACTACTTTATAAATAAAAATATTTACAGTAGGACCTCACAGGGATTCAGTTATTACAACTAAAGCTTCTGTAGTGCTCATCTAAGGAATGGCTCTAGCAGTTCTCCAAATAATATCTACTTTAAATAAACTCACTGAATCCACTTGTAAATTATTTCCCTTTGGCTGTGTCATTATTCACTATGCTTTCAAGGAACATGGTGATGAAAGAAGAAAAATACCTCTTTCTAACATAACCATACTGGCAAGAACATCAACATTATCAGTATTCAAAGAATGTCTTGGCAGGTTAAACCTTCATAAAAAGAAAGAACACTATCTAATCCAAGTTATCAAAATAGCAATAGTACTTCTCGTATTATGCGCAATATGATTGTTTGTCTCTAATGCAGAAAAAAAATAAAGACAACAATATCGTCAGGTTTAAATTCTAAGCAGACAAAAAAATTCTTTACAAAAAAGTACATATAGAATGATGAAAGTAGGCATGCTTAAAAGAAAAAGGCTAAGAGCAAAGTAGGACTCAATGTTCAAAGAGATTTATAGTAACATGTCATTGCTATTTTGGGAGGTTTAACAATATATTTTAACATTTTAAAGGTGCAACAGCACTATTAAGAAATATAAAAATAAAAAAATCTACTATGAGAAAAAAGCTTGAACATAAATAGCTTGTTCTAATTCAGTCCATGATTTCTCTCTATAATAGCTAATACTTAATTTTACAAAAAGACTTTTAAAAACTTTATATTACTTTCACAGTATAATCATTTCAACATACTCTCCAGGATTTGAACTGCATCTGAAATTACTGAAGGCTATAGAGGAACTTGTGTTTGCTAAATATAAGTTCTGATACAGTGTCCTCCGAAAATAATAAAATGTAGTACACTATAAATACTGCTTTCCAATTTCTTTTATTTCCTAACAGAAAATTACTCATCATATGAACAGGTTTAATGTAACATGGAATGCAAAAAATTAGAACCATTAAACTATTTAATTCTTCAACTTTAAAAAATAATTAAAATAAATAAAATAAAAACAGGATAATGACCAGAATAGTGCCATTATAATCACACTAAAAAGTAAAGCTTCCATCAACATTTTATGAATTTGACAAATCTGGTACAATATATTTTTAAGTATTGTTTCAGTATTGTATTTCACTCAATTTTGTGATACTCCATTTTTGAAAAACCTGTTACTCAGAAGGGAGGCTTCAGATACCCATGAAAAGAAAAAAATCAAGGTAGAAACACATATGCTGAGGTTTGCTAATTCACTGTTTAAAAAGTACCTTAGATGTCCCACCATAATTGCTCTTAGGTGTTTTTAACAAAGGAACAGTTATAATTCACAGATAAGACAAGTGGTACTTTTTATCTACATAGACCTATATAAACTTTTAGTAAAACATTTAAATTGTTTTACTTTTAATCTTGTCAAATAATTTTCATTTCTTCTACTTCTTTAAAAGGCTGACCAGGTTATTTGCCTGTATTGGGATCAACAAATGTTGGACTACACTGTGTTTAGTTATAATAACTAATTTATCCAGCCTGACTTTATATGTGGGAAACGATACACCCCTAAGTGTACTGAGATGTTTCTTTGAAACAAAAAGATTAAATTTTATGCCTGTGATAAAAAACAGCCTTATTCAATAAATACTTTATATGTGGGAAACGATACACCCCTAAGTGTACTGAGATGTTTCTTTGAAACAAAAAGATTAAATTTTATGCCTGTGATAAAAAACAGCCTTATTCAATAAATACTTTTTTTAAATGAGCAACACGGCAGACATATAACTCCTTATTACCCATACTCTTAACTACCAAGAAATGAAGCCAAACTTTTGGAAAAATACAATGCAAGAAAAGATTCAAGTTTAAAATATATTCCCTTGGTTAAAAATCATCCCCTTAATCGAACAATGAAAACACTTGGACACAGGGTGGGGAACATCACACACCGGGGCCTGTTGAGGGGGTGGGAGGAAGGGGGAGGGATAGCATTAGGAGATATTCCTAATGTAAATGACAAGTTAATGGGTGCAGCACACCAACATGGCACATGTATACATATGTAACAAACTTGCACATTGTGCACATGTACCCTGGAAGTTAAAGTACAATAATAAAAATAAATTAAAAAAATAAAAATAAAATCTAAGCAGAAAGCAAAACAAAACAAAAAAACAAAACAAAAAAACCCAAATCTGTGAGTTTTTTCAGTTAAATTTTAGGAGTAACGGGGTATTTGTTTTTAAAGATCCAAAGTTTTAAAGGTGACTGCCTAGTTTTAGAGATCAAGACATGAATTATGTAAAATAAAATAAAAAAAGAAAAAAGAGATGAAAAAAATCCCCTTTATAATATTCATTTGTAATCTAAATTCACAGCATTTCCCACCAGCCCAAAGTAATCTCGTAGATGTCATTATACTTGTAGTATTACAATGTTTTCTCAGTCTACTATTTATGGAGGTCACTCTGCTGCAGCAACAAAATATTTTAACTCTAGGAAGAGTGGAGCCTTGTAGCATTAGCTCCTTTGACAATTTTCTTATAAGATTTTTACTCTAGAAACAGACACATGTAGTTTTCTTCAGATACAGTATATCCAAACTTTTTATAGAAACCAACATTTTGTGGTAGACATTCAAGGGTAATCTTGTAACAGTTCAGTTTCTTGCTTAGCAAAGTAAGGGTTGATACTAACAATTAGCCGAGCTGCTTTCCTCTGCATTCATCACTAACGACAACATCTTCTACTCTTACTCTCTTAGCACAGGAATGGATGAATTTATGTTCTATTATCAGAGTTGCTGTAGCAACAATCTGTCCTAGAGTCACATCTTCTACAACTGTAACATAATCCCCAGATTTCTTCATATACTCAAAAGATTTCATAAACTGTTCAGGGCTGACAACTCCAGTCTCGATCAGCTGACCCAATACCTTAAAAAAAAACCCTCTATTTAAGTCAGCAGTACAAAGAGGCCACAAAATCAAGCCTTCTCCAGGATGTGTTGGGGAAATGGCTGGAGAAAATGTAGCTGTATTCTGCCTCCAGTCCACTTCTTCGAGTAGACTTGGGTCAAACATAAGAGTTTCATCAGGTTTCATCTTTCTAGTAAGGTCGGTAGAGGCCCCGCAGTCGGTGCTCCTACCCAGGCGCATCGGACTCTCCCCGACCAGGGTGCACAGCAACGGATCCGGATCCGACTTCAGCGCCAGCCCCGCCTCCTCCTCCACTGCCCGCGCCACAGTCGGCAACCGCGGCCCACATGTCCCGTGCCAACGCCTCCACCCTGCCTCTGCCCTCTCACGCAGGACACGCGCAGGCAGGGGGAGGTGGAGGCCCGAGGCGCCACCCGCCCCGCCCGGAGAGCGAGTGGCGGGGCGCCTGCTTTCCAATTTCTAAAGAAAATACCCACATTGATAATCTTACATTGGTTGGGAAAATGATATAAACCTCTCAAAAAAACTTAGAAGATACATATTTGACTTGAAATAAGAACTCTGTCATTTCAAATATTTCTAATATATTCATTTTTATCACGTGAAGTAATAATCTTGTTTTTACCTATTATTTATTTATTTATGTTTTGGAGATAGATTCTCACTCTGTCGCCCAGGCTGGAGTGCAGTGGTGCGATCTCGGCTCACTGCAACCTCTGCCTCCTAGGTTCAAGAGATTCTCCTGTCTTAGCCTCACAAGTAGCTGGGATTACAGGCATCTGCCACCACACCCGTCTAATTTTTGTACTTTTAGTAGAGATGGGGTTTCACCATGTCGGCCAGGCTGGTCTCCAACTCCTGACCTCAGGTGATCCACCCACCTCGGCCTCCCAAGGTGCTGGGATTACAGGTGTGAGCCACCGGACCCAGCCTTCACTTATTATATTTTCTAACTCGAAAGATTTCTCTTCCACTCACTTTTCTTTCTTTTTTTTTTTTTTTGAGACGGAGTCTCCCTCTGTAGCCCAGGCTGGAGTGCAGTGGCGCAATCTCGGCTCACGGCAACCTCCCTGCTTCCCGGGTTTAAGTGATTCTCCTGCCTCAGCCTCCTGAGTAGCTGGGACTACAGGCGCATGCCACCATGCCTGGTTCATTTTTGTATTTTTAGTAGAGACAGGGTTTCACCGTGTTAGCCAGGATAGTCTCGATCTCCTGACCTCGTGATCCACTCACCTCAGCCTCCCAAAGTGCTGGGATTACAGGTGTGAGCCACTGCGCCCAGCCCACTTTTCTTTTACAAATATATAATTCCTATTTCTCTTTATATTTTACCTTTTTCATCTATTTTTCCTTCCTAATTATTATGTTCCTTCTGATGTTGGTCTTTTTTTAATTTAGGGACAAACTTTTTATTACTAAATATCCTCTGGATCCAGAGGTCATAGGGTTATTTTTATTAATAGGATGAGCCTCCATCCATCAACATCCTAAGGAATCATAGCACGGTGGCACTGGAAAGGATCTCAAGGTATCATTTGGTTGAGCTCTATGCCAACAAGAACAGGTTGCTATTCTTATTTTAAATGATCAAAGATTTTGATCAAAAACATTCTACCATAGCTTTAATAAAGAATCTTCCTGACAATAAGAAAACTGGATCAAAAAGGGTTCTGACCTCAGCACTATTACTGTAAAATATAAAACAATTCCATTAGTTGCTCTGAGCTTTAAGTTCCCCCATATAAACAGAGATAATGCTTTCTATCTCACAAAGTTATTGTAACTGTTCTGAAACATGGGAAAAAACTATATAAATATAAAGTAGTATTAAAATAGGAAAAAGGGCCAGGCATAGTAGCTCACACACCTGTAATCCCAGCACTTTGGGAGCGTGTATTGCTTGAAGAGGGTGCATTGCTTGAAAGCTCAGAAGTTTGAGACCAGCCCAGGCAACATAGGGAGACCCCCCATATCCCTACAAAAAAAATTAAAAATGAGCCAGGCATGGTGGTACACATGTGTAGCCCCAGCTACTCAGGAGGCTGAGGTGGAAGGGATTGCTTGAGCCTAAGGCTGCAGTGAGCTGTGATCGTGCCACTGCACTCCAGCCTGGGTGACAGAACGAGACCCTCTCAAAAAAGGAAAGAAAAAAAAAAGGAAGAGAGCATGGTAGAGAGCAAAGCACTCTGAAGGCATGTTAAGTTTCAAATCCCATCTCAATTTACTAGTCGCACAACAATGAGCAAAGTATTAAACCTATCTGAATTCCATTCAGAGAACAACTGCAAAACTGATATAATCCCTACATCACTTGGTTGTTGCTGTGAGGATTACAGAAAACTAATACACCTAGCACAGGTCCTGGCATTGTGTAGGCCCTCAATAGATGTTAATTCCCTATTTCCCATCAGGTTTCCACATTGCTGTGTAGTTTGCTTTCCTGCAGGATACCCATGTGAAATTTCATTAGATAAACAGAATAATTAGAAAATATATAAACCTTTCTTTCCTTTAAGATTCACCAAGCAACAAGATGACTACCTTCTCTTATCGGCGCTTTGAAAAATGGAAAGAAAGCTGGAGTTTTCCTTAAACTCAAAAGCTTCTGCACAGCAAAAGAAACAATCAACAGAGTGAACAGACAGCCTGCAGAATAGGAGAAAATATTTGCAAACTCTGCATCCAACAGAGATAACATCCAGAAGGTATAAGAAGCTCAAAAAACAAAAACAAATAATCCCATTAAAAAGTGGGCAAAGGACATGAATTGACATTCCTCAAAAGAAGACAAAAGGCCAGCAAGCATATGAAAAAATGCTCAACATTACTAATCACTAGAAAAATGCAAATTAAACCACAATGAGATATCATCTTGCCTTAGTCAGAATGGCTATGATTAAAAGGATGAAAAATAACAGATGTTGGTGAGGATGCAGAGAAAAGGGAACATTTACTCACTGCTGATGGGAATGTAAATTAGTATAACCTCTATGGAAAACAGTATTTTTAGTTCTAAAAAAACTAAAAATAGAGCTACTATTTGACCAAGTAATCTCCCTACTGGGTATCTACCCAAAGGAAATCATTATACCAGAAGGACGCCTGTGCTCATATGTTTATCACAGCATTATTCACAATAGTAAAGATACAGAATCAACTTAAGTGCCATCAACATATAAATGGATAAAGAAAATGTGTATGTATACACAGTGGAATACTATTCAACCATAAAAAAGAATGAAATCACATCTTTTGCAGCAACAAGGATGGAAATGGAAGTCATTATCTTAAGTGAAACTCAGAAAAAGACAAATACTGCATGTTTTCACTTATAAGTGGAAGCTAAACCACATGTATGGACATAGAGTGTGGAATGATAGACAATGGAGACTCACAAAGGTAGAGAGGGAGGAGGGTGGATGATGACAAATTATTTAAAAGGTAAAAGGTATGTTATTCTGGTGATGGATATACTAAAAGCTCTGACTTCGCCACTACACAACATATCCATGTAACAAAATTACACTTGTATCCTCCTGACACACACACTCTTCCAAAGAATCAACAGTGTAGAGGGTGAAAAATGTCACTAAATTGTGAAGTCTTTAAAGGAAAAGAACCAGTCTTACTCATTTTCATATTTTGAGAATCTATCACAGCACCCGATAAAAGGAAGCACTCAAGCCATTTCTTAGATGAAAAACGTCTGCTGGGGGAATCCCTGATTTCAGAGATTAAGAAATGAAAAGTTCAATCAGATCATATAGATATTAGGCAACAAATTAAAGACACTCTTTATGTAATAAAGATAAAACTAGATAAATGTGGACTAACATTTTGAAAAAAAGACTCTTTACATGTTGTCTTTGGGCTGCTATAGCAAAATACCATAAACTAGGTGGCTTATAAACAATAGAAATTTATTTTTCACAATTTTGGAGGCTGAGTAAGTCCAAGATCAAGGTACCAGATGACTTGGTATCTAGTGAGGTCCCACTTTCTGGTTCATAGGTGGTGCCTCTGACTATGTAGTGGCCTCCTCACATGGCAGAAGAAGGAAGGCAGCCCTCTGAGGTCTCCTTTATTTTAAGAGCATGAATTTCACTCCTCAAAGGCCCCATGCCCTAATAACATCACATGGTGGTTAGGTTTTCAACAAATAAATTTTGTGAGGGCACACAAACATTTAGTCATAGCCCATATCTAACTGATTTATAAAGTATACATTGTTTATTATATCATATACCCAGAAACTTATAAAGATAAAATAATGTTTACCTTGTTATGTACAAAGACAATCCTTAAGTCAGGTTTAAGGATACCAAAGCTCATGAGGAGATCTTGGATCTTTTTTATTTCATCTTTACATTTTTTTGCAGTTGAGTAAAACTGCTTTCTTACAGGTAGATTCTTAAATAATCTTAAAGCAGTTACAGTTGTACCTGTTGGCAGACAAGAGAAAAGCACATTTAGATTTGGAAGGAACGTCACAGATCTTCAAATCCGTATACAATTTGTAATTAACCCCTTCTATAACTGAAGGTCTCCTCCTCCAATTCTAGAAACCCAAAGGCTCAACTTTGCAAACTACTCTGATTCCATGCTAGACTCTTCTATTTGTAACAAGACTGACCTACGAAGTATGACCTCGTCTATGTGGTCTAAAGAAGTATAATCTTACTTCTATCACTGCGTAGAAACATGGGCTTACAAGAACGCAGTATCATAAGAAATCTGCTGTGCTCAAACTACCTGGGAATGGTGCTTATTCTGGACTTTAAAATATAATTTATAGGAGATATAATATTACAGTTTATATAATAACCTTATGTTACTGGAAATTCTTACCTGAAATAATATCTGGTAACCTAGTTAAATTTACCTCATTTTCAACAACATTCAAAAACACAGGATAACCTAACAAAAGAATTTTTTTAACTTATAGTTTAACTGGAAAGCTGAATAAAGGTGCAAAAATTATACTGCTGAACTATCAGATTAACCACTAGCTTTTACTCAAAAAAACACCACTACCACATAAAATTAGGACTGAATGTTTGTCATAGCCATATACGATAGGTACATAGGTACATATTTTTAAAACACTGAAGAATGAAACATTTAAAAACTACTAGTCACCAGTTAATCTGAGTTATGAAATCAATCTCCCCATGTGATTCTTATGAATGTACAGTCAGAGTAGAGAATCATTACACTGAGGAGTAATGAAATAAATTTATAGTGTAGTGCTTCTCAACCTTCGCAGCATTGACATTTGGCCAGGTAATTTGTTGTGGGGGACTGTTCTGTGCATTGTAGAATGTTTAGCAGCATCTCTGGCCTCTTACCCACTAGATGCCAGTAGCATCCTCCTTAGTTGTGACAATCAAATATCTCCAGATACTGCCAAATGTTCCCTGGGAAACAAAGTTGCCTTGGTTGAGAACCACTGATTTAGTATTTAAAAACTACCATCTTTTTTTTTAAAAATAAAATAGAATAAAAAGATAGAATAAACTAGAAAAATAGAGTGCATCACCTATAGTTAGGATAAATATTATGTCATGACATTTTGTTTTGATTAGCTGTGTGTGAACTGGGTTGCTATGTAAAATATATTTATTACCGTGAATCAGTCAAAAAGGCTGAAGTTGCTGCAATAGGTCAATTTTTGTCCTACTGCTTATAACACAGAGCAAAAACACAAAGAAAATGGCAATCATAAGGAACGTATAAGACTTTGAAACTGTAGTGTAAAATTTTACGTAGTTTTAAAGTTCCAAGAGGAGAAAAAGAAATTACTGGTAGTTTTAAAGTTCCAAAAGGAGAAAAAGAAACAAATGGAGATGTAATTAAATAAATACTAGAAGAAAATTTTTGAGTTAAAGGCTTAAGTGCAGATTTCAAGAGCTTACTTCATTATAAGGAGAAATATTTTAGGAAGAAAAAAGAAAGTACATTCTACTGGAAATCCTAAATTTTGAGGACAAGAAAAGAATTTTACACATTGTCATACAGAAAGAACAAGTTTCTTACAAGAAAAGACTAACATCAAATTTCTCACCTATAACACTAGAAGACAAACAATTTACTAACTATTAAGAAGAAATTAAGAAATTGACACCCAGTTAAGATAGGTATAGGGCAAAATGAAGACATTTTTGGACTTGCAAAGATCCAGAAGTATAGCACCCAAATGTATTTGATGAAAATAATGGAAGATAAACTCTAACCAAATGACTATAATATCAAAATAGAGATTTCACCAGGTGTGGTGGTTGCACCTATAATCCCAACTACTTGGGAGCCTTAGGCAGTAGGATGGCTTGAGCCCAGGAAGTAGAGACCAGACTGGGCAACACAGTGAGACCCTGTCTTTAAAAATAAAAAATTAGTCTGGCATGGTAGTATATGCCTATAGTCCTAGCTACTTGGGAGGCTGTGAGAGGATCCCTTGAGCCCAGGAGTTCAAGGCTGCAGTGAGCTATGACTGTGCCACTGCACTCAAGCCCGGGTGACAGAACAAAACCCTGTTTCTAAGGGGGGAAAAAAAGACATTTTGTGACAACAAGATGAGAAAATAAATGTGGTGTGCAAAGCATCTTAAAAGTTTGACTGTAAACAGAAGATGCTAATGTGGGTGGGCTTTGCAACATAACTTAAATAAAGATTCATGAGATATAATGTAAGTCTGAGAAGGCCTAACAGTAGCTTGTAACTCAATGTTACAAACTGTTATCAGTAACTGTATTAGTCCGTTCCTTCTCACACTGCTATAAAGATATTACCCTGGAATAGGTAATCTGTAAACAAAGGAGGTTTAATTGACTCACAGTTCCACATGGCTGGGAGGCCTCAGGAAATTCACATTCATGGCGGAAGGGGAAGCAGGCACCTTCTTCACAAGGCGGCATGAGAGAGTGTGAGTGTATGAAGGAGGAACTGTCAAATACTTATAAAAACCATTGGATCTCGTGAGAACTCACTATCATGAGAACAGCATGGGAGAAACTGCCCTCATGAGCCAATCACCACCTTCTCTAAACACATAGGGATTACGGGTCCCTCCCTCAACACATGGAGATTACAATTCGAGATGAGATTTGGGTGGGGACACAGAGCCAAACCATATCAGTAACACTGGTTAACTGGAGAAAAGGGGTGGGAATTAAAGCTTACACTGTCCTACACAACCTGTTCCATGGCTATCTTCTCTCCTACCGATGTCCTTCCTTCTGTTCCTAGAGGACATCAGAATTGTTTCCACCTCAGACCCTTTGTACATGTTCTTCTGTCAACCTTTCCACAGCTAACTCTTTCAGATCTCAGCTTGAGTATCATATCTTTTTTTTTTTTTTTTTTGAGATGGAGTCTCTCTGTTGCCCAGGCTGGAGTGCAGTGGCATGATCTCGGCTCACTGCAAGCTCCGCCTCCTAGGTTCATGCCATTCTCCTGCTTCAGATTCCTGAGTAGCTGGGACTACAGGAACCTGCCAGCCCGCCTGGCTAATTTTTTGTATTTTTTTGGTAGAGACGGGGTTTCACCATGTTAGCCAGGATGGTCTCGATCTCCTGACCTCGTGATCTGCCCACCTTGGCCTCCCAAAGTGCTGGGATTACAGGCGTCAGCCACAGCGCCTGGCCCAGAGTATCGTATGTTTTGAAAATCCATCCTTAAATGCCCTATCCAAGGCTGCTGCTTCTACAGTGGAACTATGTTTTCTTTCTTTTTAGAAAATGTCACTACTTGAAAAAACTTTTGTCTGCCTCGCCTCTTAGAATACAAGTATGAGAGCAAAGAACTACCATGTTTGCCATTATATCCCTAGCACCTTAAACAACAATGAATAATCTGTAGGCATTTAACAAAAAAGTCTTAAATGAATACTTAAAGAAAATAAGAGAAAGTAATAAAGTTTGTATTTGTCTGAATTATTTATTTATGGAAGACACATAGTACTTGCAATTTTTGAAAGGAAATTTACTATAAGAGAAAAATAAAAGAAGATTGGGGGGAAAAGATTTTTGTGGAAAAAGACTAAAGGAAGTGCAATATTCCTATTTTGCTCACACTTGATGTTTTTCTGCTTTTTTCTTGATCTGGTGCCTCATTAGCATATAACATTACTAATGATTTTTTTTTGGGGGGGGGTCTTCCTCTATTTTTATATAGAGCATTTCCTTGGCTTACCTGCATACATCACTTCCAGAGGCAGGATTAAATTCCTTGGAACACCATGTTCTAACATGGTGAGAACACATAGTTCTCACTAGTAACACTTTGGTGCTACTATTCTTTGGCGCTACTATTCTTTGGCTTAGGAAAGTAAAAAGGTCACTGCCAAATTTTGGAGCAAAAGCTGATGGAGATCAAGAAATGCATGCATTTAGCAGTCAGAGCAGGTATGCATTCTGCCTCTACTGCTAAATGGAAAATACACACACACCAGAATCTATACCAGATCCTATTCACAGAGACCTCACTTCATTCTTTGTTCCCCTAGATGTTTCCTCCATTCCCATGTCTTCAACTACTACCTATATGCCAATGATTCTTTTCATGGAAGTTGTAAGCAGCACCATACTTTTATAAATCTCTAAAAAAGAAAAAAACACTTCCAATTAAACTATGATACACTGCCTTAACAACAGTCCCGTGTAACACATGAAATGGACACATCAGCCTCTCATTCCTTTGAAATTTCTTTACTCCCATGAATATGGCAATTTCTTCTGGTGCCATCAATTTCAATGCTTTGCATATGACAGCAATCCTTTGGCACTTAATGCAGCTTCATTTAGTTGTGACTATTTCCCTTTTTAACTCTCATAAAGCAATTGTTGCAATAAAATATGAAGTTGTTTATTCCTCCAATCAACACATGAATTATTAATATTGCACAAAATTCAATTGATACAACAATAAGAACATCCAAAACTGCTGCTTTTCCAAAAAGGATTTTGGGAGGCCATTAATTATAAGCCACAATCTGTTTCCAGGGACGTCAAGTGTGACAAAATGTGCATCTTAGAATTGGTTAACTAAGACACATATCTGAGACCTACACTACTCTTTTAAGTTTTATAGACAGATGCTCACTCATTAACTCCACCTGGCTATCCTCAAGGTATATGAAATCGACCACACTCAGGCTGGAACTCATTATCTTCTTCCTTGGGTTTGATACTACACCTAACCTTCCTTTC
The DNA here is from genome assembly GCF_000001405.40 of Homo sapiens. NCBI lineage: Eukaryota > Metazoa > Chordata > Mammalia > Primates > Hominidae > Homo > Homo sapiens. Next base: position 189,813,252 of record NC_000002.12, on the reverse strand, counting down.
TCATATAACACCAACATCCAATGGTTTCCAAAGGCAGATACTACAGAAAGAATTGATTCTTCCCTCTACTTCTTACTGCAATATTGCATAAGTCTTATAGGTCTATCTATTCTATCCTAGGAGTCTCTCCAATTTATGTCAAGTCCTTTCCCTCCCCTCAAACCCTAGTAGTTGAAGACAGTATCTTACAGTAAGACAAAATTTATAGTAGAAATTACCAGTTAATCTTGTAAATAACATATTAATCCTACTAGTTAATTTTGTAAATAACATGATATCAATCGTCTGCCTAAAATAAATTCCAGTGGCTCATAATGGTAAGGTACAAACTACCTGGTATGATATAAAAGGCCCTTCATAATCTAACACCTACGCTACCACTTTCTAAGCTAAACCTCCTGCTTCTACTACTCCAAAATCCTTACACTGAATTCTGTCATGTCATTCTCAGTACTCCATTTTATATGCTTTAATTGGCTTTTTAGCTATATAACTTTGTATTACTTTCAGTGAGTATAACATATATTCTTAAATTATCAGTTTACCTTGATTACCATGAAATAAATTATATTTCACAATGTAACAACTTTGTAATAGTGTACCTCATTTACTCTTACCTTTTGTAAAGTTTTTGTCATGCGTTTTACTTTTCTGTGTGATAAACTCCACAATATACTGATTTTGTTTTTGTAAAATAAGTTTTTAAAATACTCGTCTTTCCATTTTTTCCACACATTTTCTAGTGCTTTTCTTTCCTTCTTGCAGATTCAGGTTGCCATGTAGAATCATTTTCCTTCAGCTTAAAAACCCTGTTAGTATTTCTTGTAGTGCATGGTGGGAGATTCTCTGTTTTATTTGTATGAAATTGCCTTCACTTTGTACTCATTCTTTAAACATTTTTACTGGTTATAGAAGTCTAAATCAAATTTTGTTTGTCTTTTTGTTTTGTTTCATTTGAGAGTCTAATTCTGTCACCCAGGCTGGAGTACAGTGGCGTGATCTCGGCTAACTGCAACCTCCGCCTCCTGGGTTCAAGCAATTCTCCTGCCTCACCCTCCCGAGTAGCTGGGATTACAGGTATGCACCACCACACCCAGATAATTTTCGTATTTTTAGTAGAAACAGGGTTTCGCCATGTTGGCCAGGCTGGTCTTGAACTCCTGACCTCAGATGATCCACCTGCCTCGGTCTCCCAAAGTGCTGGGATTACAGGCGTGAGCCACCGCACCCGCCTGTAATTTTAAATTTAAAAACTTAAAAGATGTCATTCCATTTTCTTTGGACTTCTATGTTTCCAATGGGAAGTCAGCTGTCATTATTTTTATTGTTCCTCTGAATTCAATGTATTTTCTCCTCTGGCTGCTTTTAATATTTCATGAAAGCTGTAAATAGCGCCACACTTTTATGAATCTCTAAAAAAGAAAAAACACTTCCAATTAAAGTATAATACACTGCCTTAACAACACTCCTGTCCAACACATTACTGGTTTTCGGTAATTCAATTATGATGTAGTTAGCTGTGGTTCTGTTTATTTTTTTTCCACTTGGTTCTGTTCACTCTTTGGTATGTGGCTTTGTATCTTTTCAAAAATCTTGAAACATTCTCAGACATTTTCTTTTTTCAATCTTAATTATGTTATTAGTTTTTTTTGTTGTTGAAGACAAGAGTCTCACTCTGTTGCCCAGGCTAGAGTGTATGGCACAATCTTGGCTCCCTGCAACCTCTAATTCCTGGGTTCAAGAGATTCTCCTGCCTCAGCCACCTAAGTAGCCAGGATTACAGGCATGCGCCAAAACACAAAAAAATTGGGTAATTTTTGTATTTTTGGTAGAGATGGGGTTTAACCATTTTGGCCAGGCTGGTCTTAAACTCCTGACTTCAAGTGATCTGCCCACCTTGGCCTCCCAAAGTGCTAGGATTACAGGTGTGAGCCACCGTGCCCAGCCCTCAGACTTTTTTTTTTTTTTTTTCAGATTTTGTTCTGCCCCATTCTCTCTCCTGAGATTCCAGTCACAGGCATGTTAGACCATTTAATGTTGCCCCACAGGTCTCTGATGCTCTTTTCTCATTCTACTTCCGTGCTTCTGTTTGCATATTATTTTTACTGACCTGACTCCAATAAGTCCAACCAATTAATTCTTCATAGTACTTTTTGTTCTAGAATTTTCATTTAGTTTTTTAGTTTCCATTTCTCTGCTGAAATTTGCTACCTTCTTACCAGTTTTGACCATCTTTTCTTCTAAATTCTTTAACATAAGTTTTTTTTTTTTTGTCTGTTAATTCAAACATCTGGGTTATTGATGAGTTTATTTACACTATTGTTTCTCTTGATTACGGATCCCATTTTCCTCTCCTCAAGTCTCTCAAAATTTTTATTTTTGCTAAACATTGAATATAAAAGGATACTAAAGAAGAAAATATTTTCTCCCAGAGAAAGTGCTTTGTTTCCTGCCAAGAGTAGAGTGAAGAATATATCTCTTCAATCTAACTAGGAGTTTATCTGAGTTGAACCTTTTAGTTCCAGTTCAAATGTCTTTGGTTTCAAATGTCTTGAAGATGGAATCAGGTCTCTTTCTCTAGCAAGGTTTTAAGATCCTTCTTTCTCTAGCTCAGTCCCAATTTTCTTAATCACTTTTTACTCAACAAAAGTCCTGCTGAGATTCAGTGTGGGGGTTGGACTAGCTCTGTTTGAGGATCCCATATTCTAATCTGTCATGTCTGCCCACAAGTGGCTATAAAAGTTCAGCTGGTTTCTCCTTGTACCATAAAAGCTCCCTTATTTGTAGAAGACTTGTTCCTTTATCTACCTATGACTCAGTTAATGCTCCCAGGGATGCAAATGGCCACCAGGCACTTCTTTTCTAGGAGGATGTAGTGTTTCTCTTGAGCTTTGTTCATTTAAACTTCTCTGTGACACAGGTCTTCAATGAGTTTAAAGACTACAAGTTTTTAAAATTATGTTTTTTCCCCTCATTGCTACGCAGATAGCAATGGTCTCTTGAAAATCTGTATCCATCATTTTTCTCTTGCCGAAAGGTTACACTCCATGTCTTCTTATCTATCATCTTCAAACTCCTACCATCTTCAAACTCAAACGTCATCTTTTCTGAAAAACTTGCTAACCTCTCTCTAGGCAGTCAGTGGCTTCATTTTGTCATTATTCACTCACCTGTGTTCCCCACTAGTCAGTAAGTTCCTAGATGACAAATATAATGGCATGCACTGTAGCTCTAGACAGAAGGAAGACAGAAATCAAGAGGGCAAAATATAAATGTGTATATGAAAGTAAAAAGAGATACCTGTTGATTTTTAAATATATGTATCTAAGACCACATTATACCTAATCTGTATATTGATAAATTATTGCTTCAGCACCTCAAAATATCCTCTGAAAGTAAAATGAGAATTATCATTATTTTGAGATGGAGTTTCACTCTTGTTGCCCAGGCTGGAGTGCAATGGCACAATCTCGGCTCACTGCAACCTCCGCCTCCTGGGTTCATGCAATTCTCCTGCCTCAGTGGGATTACAGGTGCCCGCCCCCATGCCTGGCTAATTTTTTGTATTTTTAGGAGAGACAGGGTTTCACCTTGTTGGCCAGGCAGGTCTTGAACTCCTGACCTCAAGATCTGCCTGCCTTGGCCTCCTAAAGTGCTGGGATTACAGGCGTGAGCCACTGTGCCCAGCCAATTGAGATTAATAAGAATTATATGTTTGAATAAAACATACTTATGGAAAAGTCTTTTCTGATTCCAAATGAACCCTGTCTCAAAAAGCAAAAAAAAAAAAAAAAAAAAAAAAAAAGAAATGTGCTTCCTTAAAAGCACCAAGTAATATTGGCCAATAATAGGGAGGAGGCCCCATTATACTATCATGTTTTACAAGAAAATCATTCAGCTCTCTAACTTTAGCACATCCTACAAACACCAGAATTAAACTGCAGTGTTGTAATATGCTCCCTGTTATATTTTTACATGACCCTATGGTATGCCATTTATTATAATGGCAGCTATTTATATTCCTAATGTAAAGGTATGGTTGCTTGAATATATCAGAAAGTTTTCTTAAAATATTTAAGGAATAAAAGGTCCATTCTTAAATTAAGATGAAAAGATCTTTTAATACACGCACAATCACACACCGTAGGAATTTACAAAGAACATGATGTTCTGAAACTCTAGTAACAGGGTAGGAAAATGATCACAGCCCTTTAAATACTACTTTTGATATATGAGAAATTTCTAAGGCAGAAGTACTGGAAGATCTTAAAAGAATCTGACTAGGAGGGTAAATCAATTTGGAAAGCTTAATACTGATTATCTAGGGTAAAGGGAATAGAAGTGATGACAGAAAATGATAGGACTAAAGCTATTAATTTACTCCATGTTCTTGGTACAATAATTTAAAAGATAGAGATGTATTTCTATTTTTCTTTTTAGTTTAAAAAAATGCTTTAAAATGGAAGTGAACAGAAGGCAAGGGCAACTTAGGGTGACATACTGTTAAACACATAAATCATTTTAAATGGCTGAATTAATCCATAAAACAAATATACACCTAGAAAAACCAGAGCTGGAATTTCTAGTAAACTATTTTTAAACATTGTAAAATATGTCTTTTAGGCTGGGCACAGTGGCTCACGCCTATAATCCCAGCACTTTGCGGGGCTGAGGAGGGCAGATTTCTTGAGGTCAGGAGTTCGAGACCAGCCTGGCCAACACGGCAAAACCCTGTCTCTACTAAAAAAAACACAAAAATTCGCCAGGTGTGGTGACACACACCTGCAATCCCAGCTACTTGGGAGGCCAAGGCACAAGAACTGTTTGAACCTGGGAGGTGGAGGCTGCACTGAGCTGAGATCACGCCACTGCACTCCAGCCTGGGCGACAGAGTAAGACTCTGTCTCAAAATAAGAATAATAATAATAAATTACGTTTTTTAAAGGGGTAACAAATTTTCCAATGCCTAAATAAAATTATGTTGTAAGTTGTTCCCGTACCTACAATTATGCCACCCACAGGTATCATTATATCAGATGACATGAAGAGTAAATGCTAAGCAGGGATGTTCACCTCACAGCAGAAATTAGTCCAAGAACCCTACATGTACAGGTATAAATTAGGATGGTTGAACTGTAATTTTATCTTACGCAGAAAATATTTAAATGGAAGCTAAATGACAGCTGGTGAAATATGAGTATGTGATTCAATCACTCAAAACCTATCAGCACTAAGGCAATATAAACATAAAAGGCTTTTGAAAGTGTTTGTAGATATATATAATATGTCCACCAAGAACAACTTAAAATTAAGACTTTAACTTTCTGCTGTTTTCCTAACCAATCAACTATAATTAGGTGAAAAAACTGAGTTATGAAAAGCAATTAGTAGTTTTGCAACTACTGATCTTCTAAGTATTTATTCTTGTTTCTTGAGATAAAAGAAATATACTAAAGAAAGTAAAGTTCATTTGTTGACTACAGAAATTCCTTAATATGCATACCTGGTCTCACTTACTTAAGGTATAAGACTGAGGTCAGCAGGAAAAGGAAAATCAACAGCAAAAGGGCAAAGATCAGATGGATTCCATATCTAAGGATTGTTATTTCATAGTTCCCATGGAGATGAATAAAGAAAAGCATGAGAAGTATGAGTGATGCAAAGCCATTGGCCATCCAGATTAGACTGGTCACTACTAAGACAAAAATAAATTCCTTTAAGTTTTATAAGGCGACTAGATTACTTCAAAGTACTCTACTGGATAGCCACTCAAATATCTCCTAATGGTGTCCTAATTTGAACTCGTAAGAACTGGGGTCAGAGTATTTCTAGAGAGGAGCCATATTTTAAAAATGCCTTCTGTCTGTCCTAACCTTTGATATACAGTAAAAGAATTATAATCTATTATTTTTAATTAAAACATATATAATATTTGTATCATTCTACATCAAATAAAATAGCTGTTAGACTTGAGCTCATTTTCATTAACTGAATAAATGAGGAAAAAATGTGCATTGTCTTAGGAGTTTCTATTAACTCTCTCCTTTATGTGGAACAAAAATATCAATTCCTAATGGGCAAAAGTAATCAGTAATTAAGCTAAGGATTTACAAAATAAGTGAATGAGTGAGAGAATTTGGTACCAGTATTAAAATATAAGAAATTTATATTTTATACATGAAATGAAGACAGAAGTCATTTGAAAAAAAGAATCCAATAATTTAATATTAAAACTGAAGGAAAAAAACCACAGAAAATATACAGAATGTACTTTGATAAACTGCAATGAGGGAACACAAAATTAAACATGAATTTACAACACAAATTGGAGAAGCAGAAGGATAAACAACAACAACAAAACCCACAAGTCCCTTTTCAGATCTAATAATTATTTTGAACATGACTCTAAAGAGGTAATAGCTTTAATAGTCTCTTAATCATCCCATCACTAGAAATTATTAAAAAAAGATTAAAGGAGATATGTGAAACTGAAGCCTAAAGAGATCTTTTTTACCTTTATAAGTAAATAGTTTTTAGAGAAATTTAAACACTTATCAGCTGAACACAGTGGCTCACATCTGTAATCTCAGCACTCTGGGAGGCCAAGGCAGGTGTATCGCTTGGGCTCAGGAGTTCGAGGCCAGCTGGGCAACACAGCAAAACCCTGTCTCTACTAAAAATACAAAAATTAGCCGGGTGTGGTGGTATGCACCTGTAGTCCCAGCTACTGAGGAGGCTGAGGTGGGAGGATCACTTGAGCCTGGGAGGCAGAGGTTGCAGTGAACCAAGATGATGCCACTGCAGTCCAGCCTGTGTGACAGAGTGAGACCCTGTCTCAGGAAAATAAAATAAAATAAAATAAAAAACATAAGATATCAATTAAAATGTAATAATATTACATAAAAGTATATAAAACACTAACTACATTACAAGTAGAAACAATACGTATTTGCTTCAAAGTAATATAGAAAGGGAAGAAATGGGCGAGGGTATTACATGAAAGAACTTTAGCAATGAATTGATAAATTATTGAAACTGAGTGATAAGTACAGTAACTTCTTATGCATGTTTGAAGTTTTCCATCAATTAACAAATAGATTTTAAATTATTTAATCATATCTTGATGGTATCGTTTATTTCCACTATTACCAAATCAATTATGTTTTATATGTTTCAATAAAATTTTAATCTTCTTCATATATGAAGATGACACTGGTAATCCAGCACTGGTAAAATAAATACTCTTAGTTTTTACAGAGGAGTAACTAGTCCATGGAAGTGTCCAGTCTCTCATACAGTTCCTTTTGAGAACAATTCTAAATATTTAAGAAATTGGTGGCTAGAATAAAGGCTGAATGTTTACTTGGAAGTTAACTAGCCTTTATCAGGACCAAGCCCAAAGCAATATATTTGTATTCACCGAGTAACTTTTTTTTTTTAAACCAACAATTAAGACAGAAAAGGTAAAGAATGTTTGTATACAAAGCTACTTTCTTACCTTGACCAAGATGTGAAGGTTTCTGAGAAAGTATGTGGCCACTGCCATCTAAAACATACTGGGTGCTAAAATTATCAGCAGCCGTTCTTGTTGTAATTAAAACCTGGGGGAAAAAAACATCTAATAAAACTAACACTTTAGATATTGCGATGGGTTCATTATCAAAGATTTGAAATGATTATTGCATAATATATTTACTCAATAGCGTATTTTACCTAATAAACATTTGTGACCAGTTCTTTTGTAATATTCCTTAGAGTTACACAAATAAGCAACAGGCCAGCTTGTATTTTTTTTATGTTGCAAATTACTGTTTTGAGTATTTCACTTTATTAAAACACTCGTACACAAACAAGTATACCTGAAATGCCATTTGTATTATATGCATTATATGACTTATGTCTGTAAAAGCAAGTACTTCAACTGTATTAAGGGAACTTGCTTTTTAACAGACTATTTCCATAAATTTGTTGGTAAATGAATAGTTCTTTGGTAAAGTGATCATTCCCTCCCCCTTCTTTATTATGTGTAAAACTGCACTTCTGTATTTCAAGATTATGGTCCAAAAAAAATTAAATTATATATATATTTACAGATTTTTTTCTTAAAACTGAGCTTTAAACTCATTAAGGCTAAATTTTTTATTAATTAAAAAAATTTAAAACATGTAAGCATAAGTGAAGAAGACATTTCATTCAGCATGAAAATATTTCCTCAGATGTTAGTCATAGAAACACAAATTTTGAAGTGTCTGCCCTCTTTTGAGCTAGCTTCATCCTCAGCTTTCTATTTACTTACCCCATGAGGTAGGTATGAAAGTACAATAGTAAAATATGCCATTGTCAGAAAAAAAACAAAAAAAAAGTGGGGAGTGGGGATGCTGGCAAGGAAAGCATTGGGAAGAAGGTAGCCTCCTCACATGTCTGGTGAGCCAATGATGACCCAAAATTGGGAGTAATCTTTCTTGGCCATCTTTATACGAAGAGCTGAATATTCTAAAGTAAATCTATATAATTTAGACACCATAAGAATCCAACCCCACTGTTGGAACTCATCTGAATCCAAGTGGGTCTATATTTGAAGGTTCTGTCACCCTGCCCTAACCAAGCAGATTTACTGTAGGGCCTACAGCTCTGTGGAACATGTTGGTAGCATGCAGGGAATATCAGAGCAACAAAAAGAAACGGCTTCTCCAGCTCACAGTACCAGCAGAGGACGTTAGATTCTCTCTGAAAATGAAGTCTATGAAACTCTTACTAGGGGCGCTATGTCAAGCTATTACTGTGATACTATCCCCCAAAAAAGCAGAACCTAAAACAAAGTTGGGAGTTTCTGAGTACTCTTAAGGGATCTACCTCTTCCAAAATACATTCCATGGTTCAAAAATGGTGTAATTTAGAGGACAGAAAGTGCTAGAGATTTTCTTTTCTGTGGCTCATTATTCCATAATTATCCCTTTGAAGACAATTCTACATTTAACCAACTGATTTTCCAAAATGCTAAGGTCAACTGAATTCTATTTCTCTACTCCAAAGAACTAGCCACCTGACCTAAAGTTGGTGTCACTGAGCAAAGGCGGCCCTGGAACTCTGAGTTCCAGGACTAACCCTGCCAGTGGCTTCTAGATGGTCCTGAATAAATGATTACACAGATCATCTTTAAGGGAAGGGTGATGATAAGATGAAGATGATGCTAATACTTTATAAGGTTACATGGGATTTTGTTTTAACCACTTTATCTTACAAGATATTAATTTGCTCATCCTTTAAACATATATACTCCAGTCTAGACGAAGAAACTGAAGTGCTAAAAAGCAAAATAAGACCTTAGTGCTCATAATGTAACATTTATGTTAAAGTAAAAAAAAACCCTCTATTTTCCAACATTAAAATTTTGTAAAATTACAATTTGTAGAATACTACGAAAACGTATTTAGATATGAAATGCTTTGCAATTCATGGCTAAAGACAGTAAAGCATAAAGCAAACACATAAGTGTACTTCATAAATTTATGAAATACAGTGTGTTCCACAGAGGAAGGAAAGGGAATTGTATTTCGAGAGTTTGTTTCATCATATGACCCTGTGTCTGGAGCAGGAAACTTTTTTTTGGACCGGGCACAGGTTCAGAATTCATTAGCTGTGCAGGAGCTAGCATTTGAGCCTGCAGTAACTCCACCATCAGGAGCATCTCTAACAGTACACACTATTACTGGTGATTCTTACTAGAGACATTGAGGAATGGTGGCAGAGAGTGAACCTAGTGGTGTCAAGAGAAGAAATAAAGAAAACCAGTATTTTAAAAGGAAAAGTTTTACAAGTCCTTAGAGGACCTTGGAGGCTATATTAGTTATCAGTTATTAAAAACTGACTCTCTGGTCCAGTTTACTGAGTTTCAAGAAATCGCAGTATCATTACAAAATTAAAATTACATAAAAGCATTTAAACTTCAGATAAACATAGTTTTTCTTCAATGTTTAGATAAAAAGTAAAGAAAAAACTTAGAATATATCCTGATAATTCAGGTAAAAATCCTCTTGACAAAAATTCATTTAAGGTAATTATGATAAAGCCTTTTGAGTTTTTGGGGGGGCTAAGTTTTAGATGAAAACTGACACAAAAACGAGTTGAAAACGCACAGTCTTTACGATTCAGGTGAAATACAGACTTTTGCCTGAATGGCTGAAATGTTTTCTTTTCTGCATGTGAGTATGCCTGCCTGCCTGTGCAAGTATTGTGCACTAATTAAAGTACTCTGACTGCAGGACTTGTTCCCAGATACCCACTATGGGGAGCCTAGCAACAGGGAGATCTTGGCCCTGGCTTTTCTCCTTTCAATAGAGTTCCATCACCTGTGATGAAGCTGCATTTAGGAAGTAAAATATTCCAACTGCTTCAAAACTTCCCAGACGTATTTTGACTAAAGCTCCTCCATCACAGCTATAAAAAATATACGAGACAACCCTACACTGTGGAAAAGGAGTCAGAAGTCCTTGGTTTAGAACCATCATAATGACATTAGGGGCTTCCCCTGACCCTTTTATAGTATGTGGGCCCACAAATAAGTGAGTCCCAACTTCCATCTTCAAAACAAAATGACTCAGCTTCTCATTCTGCTCCTCTAAGCCCTGGAGGCTTAATGTGAGGTGATACAAAAACAAACCTACAGATCCTATATTATCTCATCACAAAATTATGTACAGTTGACCCTTCCACAACACAAGTCTGAACTGTGCAGGTCCACTTAACACACAGATTTTCTGCCACCAGAGACAGCAAGACCAATCTCTTCTCTTCTACCCTTTCCTTAGCCTACTCAACATGAACACTTAATGAACAGCTTCCACTTAATGAATAGCAAACATATTTATTTTCTCTTATAATTTTCTTAATAACATTCTTTTCACTAGTTTATTATAAGAATACAGTATATAATACATGCAACATACAAAATATGTTATCTTCCGGTCAACAGGAGGCCGGTCAACAGTAGTTAAGTTTTAAAGGAGTCAAAAGTTACATGTGAATTTTTGACTGCATAGCGAAGTGGTGGGGTCAACTGGGTGATGTTCAAGGGTCAACTGCATAATGAGCTTGATAAGGTGAGAATAATATTCAGTACACTGTAACCATTTAAATGGTGGATGAATGAATCAATAAATGTAAATGTTATGCAGAGGATGACATTTATTCTTCTGAGGGAAAAACGAGAGAAAAAAATGAACTAACACTACGGGATGAAGACATTTGGTGAGAATTAGAAGGAATTTACCTATGAATGGCTATTACATTTTAGAAAGGATTTCCCCAAAATGTGGAATAGCATACATAGAATGCGGAGGTGAAATACTATTTGCAGAGGGGAATAAGCAAGTCTAATGATCTTATCCAGATGCATACTACTTTTCACATACAAGTCCAAAGTAGAAATAACTTGCATCTGTATGTACACAATATTCAAGACACTGTAAGATGTATTATTGTATTTGACCCTCACTTGATAAATGAAAAAAAAAAAATTCTCAGAAAACTTAATCTGACTTTGGCCTTTGGCCAGGTCTCTTATTCAAACACTCAGGATTTAGAATTAGGCTTCTGACTCCTACTTCAGAATTTGTTCTTTAAGAAAAAAAATAAAATAAAATAAACTGTTCTGTATTTCTAAAACCAGCCTCCATGTAAAATCCAGTTCAAAAATGTTGTTAGTTTCTTAAACATTTCTTTGATAACACATATAAAATATCAACCTAAAAAGAAAAATATTTTGTGTTTTTTATTATGTGATAGGAATAATATACACAATCTTTATAAAAATTTTTATGAGACGGTCAAGACAGGATTTTCACTCTCTCTATTTCAACCCAGTCACTGTGCTTAGTAATTAGTACTAGTAATTAAACATTGAAGATGACAAATTTCTCAAAATTATTGCTCTACAAACAATAAATTTCAAGAAGTTATGCTTGCTGTTATGATTTTAAAGAAAACCATTACGAGTAAATTTGTGTCAGTTGCTGATATACTCATCACAGATCATGAAAGCAATAATTCCATTTTAAAATACCAATAGTTTACTCTGCAGATATAAAAAGAATGCCTGCAGGGCACAGTGGCTCCTGCCTGCCAGCAATTCGGGTGGCTGAAGCAGGAAGATTGCTTGAGGCCAGGATTTTGAGCCCAGCCTGAACAAGAGAGTGAGACCCTATCTCTACAAAAAATTATAAAAATTATAAAACAAAACAAAACAAAAATAATGCTTTACTTCTTTGGACTGTTTAAGGTTGGAAGTTATTTTATAATTGACAAATTAGGAAAACTGACCATTCAAGTATATAAATAAAGAACAAAGAATTAGATGTATTTTAGATTTCTCCAGCCAATTTTGCTGAAAGTCTAACTTAATTTTTCTTCTTAATAACATTTTTTAAATAAACAGAAAATAATGTCAACAACTAGAGTTATAGGTGATGGCTGTTTAATAGTGTGCCCAATTACATATCGATCCACTGAGCCTAGGATGGTTTACAACTCTATGACTTTAAAATTATATGCATCAGTTAGTTTGGTAGATAAAATAACCAAATTACTAATTTTTATTGCATTCACTGTAATTTTCATCTAAAAAGTTTCAAAATAAGCTAGTCTTGAAAATATATTTTTTCTATATATGAAACCTCAATTCTTTCTGAGTGCTAAGGAATATTCCTTAAGATTAAAAAGTGAACTCCTTTCCCCCAAAATGCACCCATTAAGTCTTATTTAAAAATATTTATTTTTAAATGTAACTGACTTCAACAAACATACATTACTTCCTGTTTTTCTCAAATACTATTCACAGTCCTCACATATAAGTTTCAACTCACCTACTCCTAACAACTTATCTATTGAACTTAGCACTGCAGGCCTGGGTATATTTGTAAATAATTTAATATTTAATATGGAAGTATTTTTAAACTTTATAAATACATTTCTAATCATGCTAGTAAAGAGGTAATATAACCTACCACGGAAAATACATTACTGAAAGGCATGAAATTAGGACTGAATTCTGGGCTTTGCCTTGAACACACTATGTATACCTGAATAGGTTACAAATTTCATATTTCACTGTGTACAATTCCTCTGAAATCAACTACCTAGTGCAGCACCCTGCATGCGTAGACAATGAACATTACTTGAGTTATTAGAGACAGTGTTTTGAAGTTGGGTAAGAAGACTTGGCATTTGGCTTCAAAAGACCTCAGTTTCCTCATCAGTACTATGAAGAAACTGAAGCACAGAAGACCTACATTGTAGGCTGGCTAATCCATGAAGCTCATTCTGAGATGGAGATTAGTGAGCAGTCAGTTTATTGGGGGGTTCTTTGGGATGATCACCAGTGGGCATAGGGCAATGTTGTCCTGAACTGGGACGTTTATAACACCTCAACCAGTCACTGGATTCATTGGATGCAGGTTGCCCTGCATGACTTGGGTAAGGCAGCTGTCTTCAGCTGCGGTAAGGGCAAGCTCCAGATGGAGACTCAGGGGTGAGTCACCAACACTCTTGGCAGCTGGGGGCTGACTGCTCAGTCCTGAAGTGGGGGATCTAGATGGTGTACTAGGGTCCCCTACTACTATAAAAGTTCCTTCCAGCTAGCTCTGTATTTCCTTTAGTTTTCAGGTACAATCAAACCTAAATCATCATCAAAAACTCTGTGCCAAAATAATACATACCATATGATTTCATTTATATCAAGTTCAAGAACATAAAGAACTAATCTGTGTTGACAGAGGTCTGAATAGCAGTTACCTTTGAGAAGTACTGACTGGGAGTGGGTATGAGGGAACCTTCTGGGGTTCTGATAATGGTCTAAATCTTGATCAGGAGTATACATATGTAAAAATTCATTGTGTTGTTAGTGTAGGTGTGTGTGTGCATGCATACACACACACATCTATATGTGGTTTTCCCAAAGACTTGTAAGAAAGGAAACTCCATAAAATACTGTTAATATTTTCTAAGATAAATGCTTGGCATTGCAAACATTTTTTTAAAAACTTTATAGTTTTCCACTATTGTGATACTTTGACAATTCTTTTGTAATTCTGATGAGCAAAATTATTTTATTTATACTCAAGGCCACTTGAGTGCCTCAAAATAAAACAAAGACAAAATGATAAACTTGCCTATCAAGTGGGTTTAAGTAATCAAATAAGGAAACAAGATAGAAAGTGACCAATGGAGAAAGACTTACAAAACTGCCATCTAAACTCAGAACTACAGTGAAGATTTGAATAAATCATACAGCTCATGTGAAACCTATTTCTAAAAACCAAGTATAGTGCTGCCACCTAGTAGGCAAAGCTAATTATGACTAATTTCAGCTCTGAAGGGTTACATATATATCTTGCAGAAAATACAGAAATGCCAAATTATCTTTTTGATAATCTACCAAATAAAGCTTAAAGCCTATCTGTCAAGTTTGAACAACAGCTAAAAAAAAAAAAAAAAAAAAATCAAATACTTATGCTCTAAAACAGAAAAAAAAAAATGACTTCTAGAGTAGTCACTGACAGCTAAATAGTACTGGCAGATTCAGAGGTTCCCTGATGCAAACCTCGTGCAATTTTAAAGACAAACTCTTTGTACAAGATCCAGGGTTGTGGATTCCCATTTATAGTCTTGAGGAGAAAAACGGACAATGCCCAATTGAACCCTCTAGTCCCTCTTCCCCAAAATCTATTTGAAGGCTCTGTGAACTCCAAATAAAGCGAGTGCTGAGGAAAATAGAGAAGTACACAGTGTGCTAGATTTTGGACAGCGGTTTTAAGAGTACACATGACAATTTCCCTTTAATGATCTCTAAACATCTGGATTCTAATAAGCAAGGCCCCCTAGTCCTCTATGCTCCAACAGCAAAATCTCCCACTTAAACTTCATCTCCTTTGCAATTTCTCTGGCCTACTTAAGACATGTTACACAGCCAGAAAAGCCCAAAAGTAAAAAACTGAACCCAGAGGGTCACCAATTTAACAACGGTGCTACTTAGGATTTTTCGACTTTACAGTGGCGCGGAAGTGATATGCATTCAGTAGAAAGCAGTGGATAAGCTAGCAATGCTGAGGCAGTGACCCACAGCTCCCAGTCAGCCATGTGACGATGAGGATAAACAACAGATCCTCTCCAGTGTACTATGTTGCCAGATAATTTTGCCCAACTGTAGACCAATGTAAGTGTTCTGAGCATGTTTAAAGTAGGTTAGGCTAAGCTGTAATGCTCAGCAAGTTAAGCATATTAAATGCATTTTCGATTTACAATATTTTCAACTTACAAAGGTTTAATCAGGAATGTAATCCCCTCATAAGTCAAGGAGTATCTGTACTGAGCTGGAATCCTAGCCACAAAAAATGGAGAAAACCTACACTATCCTATGCCAGCACTTCAAAAACAGAAGGGCTGAGGGAAGACCACAATGAACCTAGAGAATATATCATTATTCTTGGCAAGACTGGACTACTAAACAGATGTCCAAAGACCAGAAGGGGAGACAGCAACAGTATCTCATTTCTGTGCCACTTTTCCAGAACAACAAGTATGAAGTCCTATCATTTTACTGTACTGGAACATTCTTGCCTAAATAGGGTCTGCCAGCCTAAGCACAAATGAAGGATTACATGGCTACTGGGCAAATTTCAATAACTCAAGAGACCCTCACAATCACCCTGTCACCTGGCACATAGATACTGTCACACAATAAGAGCCCAACATCCACAGGGTAATAGTATAGTACAAAAAAAGTAGTACAGAGTCACGTGATCAAACACAACTGAGATAACAGAAATGAAGAGATCAAGGTTCTAGACGGGCTTTGCTACAAACTAGTTATAAGATCTGGGGCAGAGGCAGCGTAGTATAATTGGTACTATGCAAGTGAATGTGCCAAGCACTGAACTCAGGAGTTCATAGACACTGAGCACCTAACTCACAGTCAGAAGAGTAAAGTTCTTAAATCCAATCTGCCCTTAACTAGTTAAGGTTTAGACCAAGTCAATTCACATCTCTAGAGCGTAATCTCACTAACTGTACCGGTTAGAGTGGTATTTCTAAAGTGTAGTCCACAGAACAAGCAAACAAACAAACAAAAATGATATGCTTTCTCAATAAAAGAATTTCATGGTCAAGTAGGTATAGGAAAAAGTGCGTATATAAACCACCAACCTTAGAGATTTACAATGTGCTTGAATATAGTAAAGGCTCTGAGAAGTGCTATAGTTAAATATCTGCTTAATTTTCTTAATACAATTTTTAAATGCAAAACACACTTTGCTGCTCCTCAAAAAATTAGACACAGAATTATGATATGACATAGCAAGTCTACTTCTGGATATATACCCCAAAGAAGTAAAAGCAGGGACTCAAACAGGTATTTGTACACCAATGTTCACAGAAACATTATTCACAATAGCCCAAAGGTGGGTGAAAGTAACCCAGGTGTCCACCGATGAAAATGAACAGATAAACAAAATGTGGTATATACACATGATGGAATATTATTCAGCCTTAAAAAGGAAGGAAATTCTGATGCATGTTACAACATGGATGAACCCTGAAGACATTATAAGAGAAATAGGCCAGATACAAAAGAACAAATATTTTATGAGTCCACTTATATGTGATACCTAGAATAGTCTAATTCATAGAGACAGAAAGTAGAACAGTGAGTACTAGGGGATGGGGGGAAAAGGCATTATTGTTTAATGGGTACAGAGTTTGAAATAATGAAAAGGTTGCGGAGATGAATAATGGTTATAGATACACGACAATGTGACTGTAGCTAATGCCACTGCCACTGAATTGTACATTTAAAAATAATTAAAATGATACATTTTATGTTATGTATATATATATTTTTTTGAGACAGAATCTCACTCTATCTTGCCTAGGTGGGAGTGCAGTGGCATGATCTCGGGTCACTGCAGCCTCTGTTTCCCGGGTTCAAGCAATTCTCCTGCCTCAGCCTCTCAAGTAGCTGGGACTACAGACGTGAGGCACCATACCCAGCTAATTTTGTATTTTTAGTAGAGACGGGGTTTCACCATGTTGGCCAGGCTAGTCTCGAACTCCTGACCTCAGGTGATCCACCTGCCTCAGCCTCCCAAAGTGCTGGGATTACAGGCGTGAGCCACCTCGCCCGGCTTATGTTATGTATATTTTACCATAATAAAAATAATTAAAACCATACTTCACCAAATACTGGGTTAGTTTTAACTGTAATGTTCAGTGAATATGAAATCACTAAAATAACCAATATAATTACCTTACCTCAGCTATACAACAAATTGACCCCAAGGCTTCTCCACGAAAACCGTAAGTTGTCAAATTTTCAAGATCTTCATGACTATTTATTTTTGAGGTGTAGTACTTCATTGCCATTACAGGTGCATCAACAGCCTTGATACCCTCCCCGTTATCTCGCACCTCAATTTTATCAAATCCATAGTTCTCCTATAAAATGTCAAAAAACACTTTTAATATGTAAAAATATTAAACTGTTATCACACTTAGAAAGAAACACAAGTGAAAGAATTTTGACATTTATTTACTTTTATGGAAGCATAGCATTATGGATATAAGAGTTTAAATTCTTCAGCTCTACTAATTTCTAGTTATGGTGCAACAGGCAACTCCCTTGTTTTCTCTGGACACAGATTCAACTGTTGAATAAGGAGGTTAGGCTGATCTTTAAGGTTGCTTTTCACTGTTTCATTATCATGGGTATTTACAATAAACAATAATTTATGTTTAAATTTGACTAAAAAAATTCTTCTGAATTACATACACCTTTGGTATGCATGGCCCCAAAACAAAACAGAACAGAACAGAACTCCATCAGCGACAAAGTAACACATGTTCTAGTCAGGCAGAACCTAGCAAGTATCATTATTCAACCTGATTTTTATTTATTTATTTTGTTTTTTGTTTTCTTATTTTGCTTTTCTATGGCAGGAATCAACCTAATATTTAATACTTTCTCCCTTACATAAAAATCTATGTTTACTACATTATAACTTTCTAAATCTTTTTCTGCAAACAGCCATCTAACAGGAAACTGCTGAGAAAACACATCTAATTTAGCAACCACAGTAAGTTTTTAATTTGAAAAAAAATCAAGACTTTTTTTAGATACTTTGTCACTCAGGCTACATACAGTACAGTGGCATGATCACAGCTCACTGTAGCCTTGAATGCCTGGGCTTGTGATCCTCCCACCTCAGCCTCTTGAGGTGCTGGGACTATAGCTGCATGCCACAGTGCCTAACTATTTTTATTTTTATTTTTTGTACAGGTGGGGTCTCACTTTGTTGTCCAGGCTGGTATCAAACTCCTGGCTCCAAGCGATCCTCCTGCCTCAGCTTCCCAAAGTGCTGGAATTACAGGTGTGAGCCATCATATCAGATGAAAATCTTTTCAAAATCTCAATTCATAGCTTAGTTTTATATTCTTATACTAAAAATATACATATATAACAAAAACAAAATTTAAATTCCCATAGTGATCATACTTTCTATGAACACCATATTCTAAATTTGGCAGCCAACTTCCATAATAAATAAGTCTGACTTTACTCCACAAAGTCTTATGTGTATGACCACAGATGCAAGTTACAAAGGGGGAAATAAAATCTTTCTATAATTATACTGACTCTGGTATTTAAAATAAAATCACATCTTTTTAATAACCTAAAATGATATAATACTGTATATGTCGGCAATTTTTAGATAAATTAGATATACAAAACATTGGAGAGAGATGCCTAAGATTTTGTTCCTCACACCTCTCTCAATCTAAAATTCAGTTTGGCTGGGCACAGTGGCTCATGCAAGTAATTGCAGCACTTTGGGAGGCCAAGGCAGGCAGATCATTAGAGGTCAGGAGTTTGAGACCAGCCTGGTCAACATGGTGAAACCTCGGTCACTACTAAAAATACAAAAAATTAGCCGGGCATGGTGGCACACACCTGTAATCCCAGCTACTTGGGAGGCTGAGGCAGGAGAATCGCTTGAGACCGGGAGACGGAGGTTACAGTGAGCTGAGATCGCACCACTGCACTTCAGAATGGGCAACAGAATGAGACTGTCTCAAAATAAATAAATAAATGAATAAAGTTAAGTTTACATTCTGGGAACTGTCGGTCTTCTATATTTTAAAGAAAAATCAGGCCAAGTATGGTGGCTCACGCCTGTACTCCCAGCAATTTACGAGGCTGAGATGGGTGGATCACTTGAGGTCAGCAGTTCGAGACCAGCCTGGGCAACATGGTCTCGAAATCCCGTAATAAGAACACAAAGATTTGTTTAAATGTTCAAAATAGTACCATCACGTTTAATTAATTATGAAAACATATCTAGTCAGGATAGCTATTATAGCATAAAACCATAATGAAACAGGTCTTATCATGTAGAGCCACACATTTAAGGTGTATATCTTAAAATTCTACAAAGCAAATACTGGTAAATGTCAAGAGACTAAAATTTACAGCCAGATTAAAATATTTAACTTAGTTTATACAGGACTTCTGTTGGCTTTGTAACACTGTTTTAAAAACCAGTTTTTCTTCCAGAAATGTTTAAGAAAAAGATGTCTGCCTGCCAAAGATTCTTAAGTGAAGTCTGTCAGATATAACTATCTAATCCTGTTTAATTATTATCAATTATACTCTAATCAGACTGAACTGACTATATGAAATGCCTAAGAAAAACAAATTGTCTTTCTTTGGGTATAATTTAATATACTTGTTTTCTCGTTTATAAAGCTTATAGTGTATTCAAAACAGAACAGAGGTTTGATATAGAAGAATGGTTCTCAAAGTGTGTTCCATAACCCACCAGCATCAGCATCAATTAGAAATTTACTAGAAATGCAAATTCTCAGGCCCCATCTAGACTATGAAGTTGTATGAGTAAGACCCAGTAACAGTTTTAACAAACATCCTAAGTTATTCTGATGCACCCAAACATCATGAGAACCACTGGCACAGAGAGAAGATCAAGAATGGGTTTTAAGAGTCAGAAAGACCTGGATTCTAGTCTTAGCTCCACTACTTACTAATTATGAGACTTTGGGAAACTTCTCAGAACATTATCTGTAAAATGGGTATAGTATGGCTGGGCATGAGTGGCTCACGCCTGTAATCCCAACACTTTGGGAGGCCGAGGTGGGCGGATCACCTGAGGTCAGGAGTTCAAGACCAGACTGGCCGACATGGCGAAACCCCATCTCTACTAAAAATACAAAAATTTGCCAGGCGTGGTAACAGGTGCCTGTAATCCCAGCTATTCAGGAGGCTGGGGCAGGAGAATTGCATGAACCGGGGAGGGAGAGTGCAGTAAGCTGAGATCGCGCCATTGCACTCCAGCCTGGGCGAAAAAGCGAGACTCTGCCTCAAAAAAATAAAAAATAAATAAATAAATAAATAAAAAATAAAATGGGTATAGTAGTAGTTAAGTCACAGTGTTTTATGAGAAGTGATTTATAGAAGGGATTTTATTTTACATATATATATATATATATATATATATATATATTTGTGTCCATATATATATACATGTTTATCTCATAGAATCTTATCTGGTAGATAAGAAAAAGTTAGGTCCCTTTCCTACAAATATATTTCTATCAGCATTGTTTCTAGTTCTATAACACTAGAAATAGCATAAATATCTGATAATTAAGAGATTTTAAAAAATGTATTCTTACATTCAATCAGATTTATTTACCTTCCTAGTGCATACTAGGTACTAGCCAGGTACAGAGGACACAAAAATGAATAAAATAGACCATATCTCTATGTGTTAGCAATTTAGAACAGGGGAACTAGTCATGGAAACTAATTGCAATAAATCATAATGAGTGATATAGGCCATATTTACTCAAATGATTTAATATACAGCACTTAAATTTTAAAATGTGAAAAAAGTAACAAGGGAAATGGTTTGAAATTAGATTAGATGGAAAAAATAAAATGCAAAAGTAAATCCCTAAAACAAGGAAATATGAATAACCAATATTTGTAGAAAATACAAACATTAGATGTCTTAGGTGATGGAGACCTAAAGAACATGTTTTCTTTTATATTTCCTTTAGTGTTACTATAATGTTAATTTAAATTAAAATTTATTTTTAAGGATTTACTCTTAAGACAAAGGGTCCAATGTCCTAAGAATAATTTATTGGTGTAAAGAAATAAAATAAAGGTAACAGTTTAAGGAGAAAACATGTGTCCAGACCCTTTTCTTTGTCTTAAAGGTATTTGGGTTCTCAAGGACACTCACCAGTTTAACATCTACGCTTGTGGCACCAGCATCCAAGGAGTTTTCAATAAGCTCTTTTACAACACTGACCACCGAAGTGATGATCTGAGAACTTGAAAGGAGTCGAACTGTTGCCGCAGGCAATTGTTTCATTTTCGCTTTTAACAGAGCAGCTAGAAGATAAAAATGCAACTTGTAAGAATTGTTAAGCATTCCTGACCAACAGGACAAATGGCAATAATAATGACAGATGAAAATAGATCATCTTCACTGAGACTTACTGTATGCTACGCTCAACTGTTAGCACATACAATATTAAGTCTTCTATTTCTTCTTTTTTTTTTTTTGGAGATGAAATCTCGCTGTCACCCAGGCTGGAGTGCAGTGGCGTGATCTCGACTCACTGCAACCTCTGCCTCCCAGGTTCAGCCACCCCTGCCCCAGCCTCCAGAGTAGCTGGGATTACAGGTGCCCACCAGGACACCTGGCTAATTTTTACATTTTTAGTAGAAATGGGGTTTTGCCAAGTTGGTCAGGCTGGTCTCAAACTCCTGACCCCAACTGATCCGCCTGCCTTGGCCTCCCAAAGTACTGAGATTACAGGCGTGAGCCACCACGCCCAGCCATAAGTCTTCTATTTCTTATTATTACCCTATGAAAATAGGTGCCATTATCACCTCAATTTTATAAAACTACTAAGGCATAAAGAAATTAGAAAACTTGTCCAAGGTCATCCAGTTATTAAGAGGCAGAGCTAAGGCAAGTCCTTCAACAATTCCTCTATTGATACCTAATATATGAATACATATAAATGCCTATGAATAAAAATAACCAAAAATGGGTTCAAAAAATCCACAATATTCTGCCACAAGCACCTAAAAAAAAAAAGTCCACAATAACATTAGAGGAAGAAATTGCTTTTTTTCTAATTTCTTCCAGGATTTTGTGTGACTAATTATATTCTGACTTTTCTTGCAAACTCGAACTCTGTATTTCCAACTGCCTGCTGAAATAATCACTAGCTCAAACTCCGGGTATAATTACCAATCCCTACCCTAAACCCACAACTTTCCTACAGGAATTATCCATTCACCCTGACTCAAATCTAATCAACTCCTAAATCCTATCAATTCTTTTCTCAGTATTTCTCACATTTAGTTCCCAATATAATTTCCTAATTAGCCTCAATGACTCTTCACCTTTGGTCACCCAGTCTATACTGCCGTTTATTAAAATGATGATTACAATAAGAACAGCAACTACTACATTAAATATATAGTATGCTAAACACTTTACATATAGGATTGCATTTAAACCGCTAAACCATAGAAAGTAGGTACTATGAATAAAACATTATACTTATTATTATGGACATTTAAGAGGCTGAAAGCTGAGTAAGTAACTGGGCCCAGGTACTTTTGAGATTTTTATTTCAAATATATTTCCTTAAATGTCTGTGCCAACTACATCTTGGTCCAAACTCATTACAGTAGATCACCGAAAGCTCACAGATACTGGAATCAAGACATGCATGTTCTAAAAAGATTTCTTAAAAACAAATGCTATGGTAATAACTGAATAATGATAAGAACAATTGTGCTATAATGAGTGTAATGTTGGCTGAGAATGACCAAGTGATAATATAACTTTGGGAAGTGGATAATGACAATCAGTTATGTGCCTTACCAACAGTCTCATTTAAACATCATTAGTCATCCATACATTCTGATGAATTATAATGTCTTTTTCAATCACTGAGCTCCTTTAGAGTTAGGATTACTGTTAATCTGAACTGGTCTCATACCAGACATGTCAGATAACTATCCTCTATATTATTCTGCCTACGACATTATTTTAATCATGTGGCTCCTCAAAGCCAATAATATAAAGCTCAAATCTCTAAGTTGGCATTTGAGGTCCTTTATAGATCCAACCTGCAGATCCAAAATCTCTGTTGGTAACTGGAAATCCTTTGTTCAAACAAACGAAAAATCCAAAAACGTCCTATGGAAATTCCATCTGTAAAGCATGCAGGGAGGGGGGTGCTTTTTGCATCTTATTGCCTAATTTCAGAAAAGATTACAGGAAAATAAGCACAAGCTTGACAACATGCAATTCCTCTGCAGAATCAAGATTTTATTGGACCAAAAAAAATGGGGGCTGGGGGTGGACTCAAGGTACTTTGTTTCCCATGACTAGTTACATGCTCCTATGATGATTTAATCCTATGCAATCTAGGTGCAAATAAAATAGCAACACCGAAAACAAACACAACAAAAAGTCATCAGTTTAGGATTATTTCTCAGGCAGCATAAGACAAAGACATGTAAAGAAAGACTCAGTAATTGAGTAGGAAATGGAGTACAGGCACTATAACAATTACACAGGAGTTTAAGGAATGCACTTCTGGGAAGAGGCCGACATATTGGGTTCTGAGAGTGTTAACTGATCACAGTTCATAAATACAGTATATTTTGCTATATAGAAGGCAAAGGTGATTGGCACAATGAAAAAAATGTAACAGACCAGAGCCTATAAAATAGGTATTGGGGGTTCACCTTTATTACACATAAACTCAGCAAATCACTGAAATCCCTCCATAAATCAATTTGTCATCTATAAAAATGGAGCAAATCACTCAAATCCCTCCATAAATCAATTCATCATCTGTAAAGATGGAGCTAATACCTCACTGGTTTACTGTGAAGAATCAAATAAGGAAGAATATATAAAGTGTTGTTCTACAAATGATAAGGCCTTATAAAATGTAGAGTATTATAATAAGAGATCATTATGTAAAGGAATGCTGAGAATTCTTTTTAAATACTAACTACCCTCTAATTAATCTATATATTTGATTTAGTTTTGGGGTACCCAGTTCTCAGGAGAGCAGCTGTGAACAACTACCTTTCAATAGTTGTTTTTGTTGTTCTCAACAGCTGGGAGGCTTTCCTGTCCCAATCAAGCAGGGAAACAGTGGACTATAGGCTACTCCATCATCATAACATTCACACAAATTAGTGCTGTCACAAGCAAAAGGCACCTCTGCACTTTTCCAAAGCTTCAGAATTACCTCGATCTAAGGGACAGATCTGCACTGTCCAATATGGTAGCCATCAGTCATATGTAGCTTACTGAACACTAGAGCACTAGAAACGTGGGTAGTCCAAATTGAGATGTGCTAATACACACTCAATTTCCAACTCAGCATTAATAAAAATCATATCAATTTTTTACATTGATTATAGGATGAAATGATTTTATCCTATTTGGATACACTAGATTACATAAAATATATTATTAAAACTAACCTTTTAAAAAATCTGTTTAATGTGACTACTAGAAAATTTAAAATGATAGATGTGGCTTATAGTTCCATTGAACAGTGCTGGATAGAGCAGTGGTTAAAATGGCAGGCTCTGAAATCACACTACTTTGGTTTTATCCTAGCTCTTACACTAACAGATATGTAACACTGAGGAAATTAAACTCTCTAAAATGCAATCACCTAATCTATAAAATGGATCTAATAATGATATCATATGATTGTGGTGAGAAGTAAATAAAGTAGTATATATAAATAATGTATTACAGTGTTTGGCATATAAGTGCTAAAAACATCCCAGGATACTGGGACTAAACTGAGCTCCTCTAAACCCCTAAATGAACAATCCCCCCACCTCTAACCCCTACCCCAAAGGGGCTCACACATTAGGCCTGGGTTCAAGAAGTCTTCCACCTCAGCTAGGAAATCCCAAGGATCTAAGAAAAACACTGATCAACAAAACTTTGGGGTATAAACTTAGACTGACTCCTTCTGAGCAGTCTTAATCTCATCATCTTTGTCTCGTTTCCTATAATACCTCATCTCCTACAATGCCAAATCCAAGATCTTTTTTTTTTAAATCTCTATAATTGCATCCCAATATTCCTCATTCTTCTAGTTTACTAAGATCATGGCAATTCATAGCATGAATTCTGTCACACTTTATCTACCCCATCCCATTGCATCCTCTGGTCTTAAGATGTCTGCATCTCTTTTCATACTCTTCTTCCATGTCATGTCATCTTTCTTCTCTCCTAATTGCTACAGTCTGAATATTTGTGTCTCTACCAAATTCATAAGCATATGATATCTGTATTGTCTCCATTTTATAGATTAGCTGATTGAGTTTTAGAAAGTTTAATTTCCTCAGTATCATATAGCTGTTAGTAAGAGCTAGGATAAAACCAAAGTAGCGTGATTTCAGAGCCTGCCATTTTAACCAGTACTCTATCCAGCACTGTTCAACAGAACTATAATGTACATACATCATTTAAAATTTTCTAGTACTCACATTAAAAAAGCTAAAAAAAAAATAAAAAAGTGAAGTTAATCTTAATTACGTATTTGGATAATCTAATATATTCAAAATATCAAATATCATTTTGTCCTATAATCAATGTAAGATAACTGTAAAGATTAAATTAATTAAATTGTATAATTAAACCTACTACATCTTTGTCCTGAACTGTAAAACTTTTTTTTTCCTGCTGTACAACTTTTGAATGTAGGAAATTATGTATTATGTATCTCTGGATGCCAGGCAGAACAATCAAATGCTTCACCCATGGCAAGCCCTTCACTTCATGAATATTAATGAAGGACCACTAAATATAATTTATCAGCATCTTTCTTATGCTAACGCAAACATTAGAAAAAGTATCCTCCTTCCCTTTATATACATAATTTCAATTGGCTTCCACACCATCCTCCAGCTCACCTGTATCTCACACTTTTTTTCTGGACTTTAGGGCCTTACTTCCATCTACCTTCTAAATATCATCATTTAGATGACCTGAAGGCAACCTAAACATAACATGTCCCAAACTGATCAGAGAATCTTTCTCTTTCTTTTTTTTGAGACAGAGTTTCAGGTTTCGCTCTTGTTGCCCAGGCTGAAATGCAATGGCACAATCTCCGCTCACTGCAGCCTCCACCTCCCGGGTTCAAGCGATTCTCCTGCCTCAGCCTCCCGAGTAGCTGGGATTACAGGTGCCCGCCACCACACCTGGCTAATTTTTTGTATTTTTAGTAGAGCCAAGGTTTCACCATGTTGGCCAGGCTGGTCTCAAACTCCTGACCTCAGGTGATCCGCCCGCCTCGGCCTCCCAAAGTGCTGGGATTACAGGCGTGAGCCACCACGACTGGCCTCTAATCAACTTTCTTCCTATATTTCTTGTTTGATAATAAAAGTAATAGCCAACATGAGAATTTTATATATATTATCCTATTTAATCCTCACAACAACTCTACGTATTCTATCATCCTTTATCACCAAATAGGATTTAAAGGCATGGTAACTTGCTCAAGATCACAAAACTATTAAGTGGCAGATGCACACCTTGGCATGTTTGACTCCAAAGGCCATGCTCTCAAACACCTTCCATCCAAGCACATAAAGCAAAATTAGAAACCTTGAAGTCATCCTAGAAATTCTACTCGCTCTCTACATCCTGCCACCCAGTCATCTCTCTCCTACTATCTAAATGTTTCCCAAACTAGTCCTCTCCTCTTTGTACTGCCTCCATTCGGCCTTTCTCTCCTGAACTACTGCAATAACCACCTAATTGATATTTTGACTCGAATCTCAACCACCTATAGGGTTCTTTCTGTATTTAAATTTCATCATGTTGCTGCCCCACTTAAAATTTTTATAAAGGTTTCCAATTGCCAACCAGGTTAAGTACAAACTTCTTAACAACTGGATTTTTGCCTCCTCTCCCAGTCATCCCATCGTTGCCCAAATGTGCTCTAGGGCGATCATACTGCACAGCTCGTCTTTTTTTATTTTTTATTTTTTGTGACAGGGTCTCACTTTGTTGCCCAGGCCAGAGTGCAGCGATTTTGGCTCACTGCAACCTCTGCCTCCCAGGTTCAAGCAATTCTCCTGTCCCAGCCCTGCAAGTAGCTGGGATTACAGGAGCGCACTACCACGCCCGGCTAATTTTCGTATTTTTAGTAGAGACAGGGTTTCACCATGTTGGCCAGGCTGGTCTCGAACTCCTGACCTCAGGTGATCCGCCCGCCTTGGCCTCCCAAAGTGCTGGGATTACAGGTGTGAGCCACCGTGCCCAGCCAACTTGTCTCTCTTAACATGGTGACACTCACTCCTTCCTCAGCTCACATGGTTCTCTCTCAGCTGACTTCTAATCATCCTTCCAGATTTAGTTCAGTATCAACTCTTCAAGCCTTTCTTCCCTGCTGCAGCCTCCTTTCCTTCACCTGCCAACAGATTAGGTATTCCTTCCCCTGCAGTCCCCCTTTACCTCATTTCTAATTAACCTCATCACAAGTTACTCTATTAATATGTGTTTCTGTCTGTTGCTCCTGACTCAGAGTTCTTTGAGGACAGGGGTTTTATATCAATCACACATCGCTAGCATAGCCCCTGGAATATAGCACTCTATACCATATGTGTACCAAATGGAAGGGTTTATATCGGGCTTACAAATCACAGCAAAGAATGTCTGGGAATATCAGGATAGTCAGTCTTCCATATTTGCTGGGAGGGAAAAGGAACACTTCTGAAGAAGTGCTGATGACCCGGAAAGTCAGTTAAGGACAACAGGTGTGCCTAAAAAAGAAGTAAAGATCAGAGAACTCACAGACTTCCATTAGAGAGAACACAAAGAAATCATTTATTTAAAGATCAGACTAAATCCAAAACAATTAGGTTCACAAAGCCAACAGAAATGCAAGATACAGACATACACAGCCAACATTCTCTTAAGTCAATTTCAAAATGTTGAAAGCTATTTCGGCAATAAAAATCACAAACTTTCTGCACTGCCAAGGTGAGGGAAATTACATTTCAAAGGCGATTCCAAAAAAACCTAATCAAGACTTTCCTCAGGATCAATTTTTGGTATTCACATTTCCTTAGCATGTAATACAGGTGCCTGTCTTCGGCGTACGGATAAACCCAGAAGGCCAAGAGCAAAAATCGTGATTAACTTTAAAGAGTTTAACTTGCACCCCTTGTATGATGCCACAGGATACAATACTATAAACCGCCACTCACACAAGATGAGTTACAGTTGCCATGGGTTAAATCTGCTGCCTGGAAAACAAATTTTAAGTCCTCCACCCAGAAGGGTCTGGGGAATGGGACGCAACAAAGACCAAGCCAGAACACCCCGGAGCCCAGACCTGCTCAGAAAACGCGTTCCACGTGTGCGCGCCCGCAAGCCCGGCTTCGCTTCCCGCCCCGCGGGGAGCGCCCTTAGCTGCCCTATAGCGTTCGCGCCCGGACCAGGACGAGTAGAGGGGACGGGGCCCTCGAGCCATCGAGGATATAATAAATACCCGTTAGTCACACCACACTACCTTCCTGCTAGCGCGAGGCAGGCAATTACCATCCACTAGCCGCAAGCAGCCAGCGTCTCACCCGATGCGCAGGCCCAACCCCGCACCCGCACCCGCACCCAGCACGCACGCGCGCGGCAGAGCGGGTGCAGAGAGCGCGGCACTGAGTCCCGCCTCGCCCGGGGGCAACGTGAGATTGGCGCTGCTCGCAGCCAATCCGCTGGCAGCGAGTCTGTCCGGGAAAGCTTCCGCAAGCTGCGCAGCGCCGGGCCTGAGGGCGTGTATCCGCGGCCGTAGCAGCCGGGCTGGTCCTGCTGCGAGCCGGCGGCCCGGAGTGGGGCGGCGGGTAAGTGGGCACGAACGCGGTGGACGCTGTACAGTCGCCTTCGTCGGTAGGGAACTGCTGGCGGCCTAGGGGTCGTCCTGAGAGGGAAAAGCGGGCTCCGGCTGCATCTGCGGCGCCCTGCGTGGCCGTAAGAGCCAAGTGGCCTCAGAGGCTCGCCCCCTACGCAAATCCTCGTTGTCTTGCCAGGGTCCTGACGTGACGTGCGGCCGCGAGAAGGAAGGGGCGGGTTGGGGGAGGCGCTGAGGTGGTAGCAGCGGCGGCTTTTGCTGAGTTTTCTCTGGCCCAGAGCGCTCGGGCTGTCGGTCTAGCAGGGGGGACTCCCCTGAGGGGCCGCTGCGGGTCGCCGTCTTCGGAGGCACCGGCGAGGGCAGAGCCAACAGCCTCTTCACGGTCTGTAAGGTCATTGTTTGCCAGTCGTGGGCAGCGCGGCAAACCTGCTGGGAAAAGGTTTTCTGGTTGGAATAGGATGAGTACCGCACCAGCTTTGCCTTCCAGCTGAGATGTAAATTTCAGGCCTCCATCCTGTGGAACGTGGGAAAACTATCTTGAGTGTTGGCATGTTCTAAGTATGACATAATAGTTTAATGTATGATAAATCATGGGTGTTTAGACGAAAGATTTACACATATAAATTGGAGGCTTTAGCGGTCTTAGTGTAACTAACTTTTCGTCCCCTTAACCCTTGATGCCTGTTCTATGGGTCTCTAGAGCGGAAGGAGCATTATACTCCGGAAACATTTGCTGGAAGGGGTTATGAGAAATTCCTCTCTGTATGCTAACTCCGTAATACAAGCGTTTGTGTATTTTAAAATCACAGCTGTTCCAAATATAATCTAGCCTCGTTTTCCCCCTCCGTCGGATGATAGGTGTTCTTCAGGACAGTTTTATTTTAAGCAATTCTTAGTCTCAAGTAAACACCATCATTAAAAGAACTGAGAACTATTATCAATTCTTCCTTTGGAGTCCATCTTCAATGGAAAGGAGAAGGGAAAACCTTTTTTAAAAAGAAGAAAGAAAACTGAAGTTTTTGATTTGACTAGAGAAATATTCAGAAGACTCCTTATTTTCACCTAGTTTAATCACAAAATTGAGAAACAAACATTATCCCTTGACCATGTAAATTTTACACCACATTATGTCAACAGCATGTACCTTCCACATTGAGTATTCAGAAAGAAGTGATCTGAACTCTGACCATTCTTTATGGATACATTAAGTCAAATATAAGAGTCTGACTACTTGACACACTGGCTCGGTGAGTTCTGCTTTTTCTTTTTAATATAAATTTATTATGTTGGTAAATTTAGCTTTTGGCTTTTCACTTTGCTCTCATGATATAAGAAAATGTAGGTTTTCTCTTTCAGTTTGAATTTTCCTATTCAGTAAAACAACATGCTAGAAAACAAACTTTTGGAAAGGCATTGTAACTATTTTTTCAAATAGAACCATAATAACAAGTCTTGTCTTACCCTAAAGTCAAATGCTGAAGATTCTTTACTGCTGTCATCAGCATCTACAAGTAGCATATTTTGGATGGTGTTTGTGTGCTACTTCAAAGTAACTAGGAAAAAATAATCCTCGCAACACAGGTACCTTGTCATGTCAGAATTGGGGGTGTTAGGTTGCCAGTTGTATCAGTGTTGATTCATTTCATTACTTCCTACAGAGCAAACATGAACGTTGGAGTTGCCCACAGTGAAGTGAATCCAAATACCCGTGTCATGAACAGCCGGGGTATGTGGCTGACATATGCATTGGGAGTTGGCTTGCTTCATATTGTCTTACTCAGCATTCCCTTCTTCAGTGTTCCTGTTGCTTGGACTTTAACAAATATTATACATAATCTGGTAAGAATTTCACATTATACTAAACACTTAAAAGTTTTAAGTTTAGTGGTTGCCGGAAATTAAGGGGAGGAAGGAATGGAAAGTTATTGCTTAATGGGTACAGAGTTTTTGGTTTTGCAAGATGAAGAGAGTTCTGGATGTGGATGGTAATGGTGATGATTGCACAACAATATGAATGTTTTTAATACCACTCAACTGTACATTTAAAGTCCCAGCACTTTGGGAGGCCAAGGCAGGCAGATCACAAGGTCAGGAGTTCAAGACCAGCCTGGCCAACATGGTGAAACCTCATCTCTACTAAAAATACAAAAATTAGCCGGGCATGGTGGCGCATGCCTGTAGTCCCAGCTACTCGGGAGGCTGAGGCAGGAGAATCGCTTGAACCTGGGAGGCAGAGGTTGCAATGAGCCGAGATCATTCCACTGTACTCCAGCCTAGGTGACAGAGTGAGATTTCGTCTCAAAAAAAAAAAAAAAGTGTCTAAGATGGTAAACTTTATGACATGTGTGTTTAAACATAGTTTTTAAAGAAGCTTAAGGTTTTGTGTTGTATACAACTTAGTTTTTTTAACAGCTTTTTTGAGATATAATTCACATGCAATAAAATCCACCCATTTAAAGTGTATAGTTTAGTAGTTTTTAGTATATAAGACTTAATTTTGAAGAATTCTAATCTGGGATAGAATTTTCTTTTTTCTTTCACGCTTTATTTCAACATTGGTCCTTTTTCTAAGTAAGACTTTTTTTTTTCTCATTGTATAGAATCTAGAAAATAGATCATTTTAGTTTCAATCCTTGTTAACTTATCTATCTAAATAGTGTAAGTATACTTCACTGTTTCAGTATTTAAGTTTTGAACTTAATCATCTTATGTGATTCAGGATCTTATGGTGCCTTAGCTGCTGCTTGTTACTCTCTTGTGTTAGCTCTACAGAGTATCAAAGTTTTGATTGACTGTACTGACCATATTATGCAGCCCTGGAAATTGCCTTTTACAAAAACAAAAAATCTTGACAGCGACTTTTCTTGTCTTTAATAACCCATTAAAGTAACGTGAAAAGGAGGAAATACAGTTAGTTGAGGATTTTAATTGAATCCAGTTTAGCAGTACATTTGTTGAAAGATATTTTTTAAAATGAACTTAAAGCATTAAGACAGGAAAACAGGAGAAATTGATTTTTAAAAATTAATATTTATTTTGGCCAGTCACGGTGGCTCATGCCTGTAATCCCAGTGCTTTGGGAGGCTGAGGTGGACAGATCACTTGAGCTCAGGATTTCAAGACCAGCCTGGGCAACATGGTGAAGCCTGAAATTCTGTCTCTACAAAAAATACAAAACCTTAGCCTGGCATGGTGGCAGCACATCTATAGTCCCAGCTATTCGGGAGGCTGAGGTAGGAGAATCGCTTGAGCCTGGGAGGTGGAGGTTGCAGTGAGCCAAGATCGTGCCACTGCACTCCAGCCTGGGTGACAGTGAGACCCTGCCTCAAATAATAACAATAATATTTATTTTCTATCTTCTGGAGTATATTTGAAGTTGACTGGAGGAGGATAAGAATGATGTGCTGGTAGACATGATAAATATGTGTCCATTTAGTCCATTTTATGTGATAGACTTTGTAAGAGCAAACGATGTTTTCTTTTAAATAGTGACTTCTCTGAAATATTTTACACTAATCATCTCACTTTTGTTGAAACTTCCTTTGGCTTCTATAGGATCACTTTCACCGGCATATATTTCTGACCTTCTCTTTCTTCTTATGGGGTCTTCCTTCTCTTTTCCTCTCTTAAATATTTCTATTCCCAAGGTTCTTTTCTTCATCTCTTCTTATGCTATGTATTCTACCTAGGTTACTTCATCTACCCATATTTTCAGTTTCTACCTGTAGAATAAGGATGCTCCTATTTATTTTTATCACCAGATTACTTTGCACCTTAAACCAAACAAGTATAAATGGAACTTATCTTATTCCTGATTACTCCCTTACCACCCACAATCTGATCCTCTGGCTTCACTACTAATCTTATCTAAAGGCCAAGCCAGACAGCTGAATGTTAATGGTAAAGCAATTAATATACAGGTTGAGCATCCCTAATCAGAAACCCAAAATAGAAAATGTTCTAAAATTAGAAACTTTTTTAGCACCAGTGTTGTGCCACAAGCGGAAAATTCCATACCTGACTTCCTGACAGGTTGCAATTAAAATGCAATCAAAACTTTATTTCATGCACAAAATTATTAAAGATACTATATAAAATTATCTTTAGGCTGTGTGTGTATGATGTATATGAAACATAAATGAATTTCATGTTTAGACTTGGGCCCTGTCCCCAAGATATCTCATTATGTATATGCCGATATTCCAAAATCCAAAACAATCCAAAATCTGAAACACTTCTGCTCCAAAGCATTGTGGATAAGGAATACTCAACCTGTAATGTATAGTCCAAACAGGCTGTTTAGAGAGTAAAATGGAGCTTTGGTAATAACTACTACAAGAGATTAGGTATAATCAGAACCATCGTATGCAAACAAGAATACAAGGTCACCTAAGTCTTAGGATAACTTCTTTTCCTTTATATTCCATATCCATTTGCTCAGAGCACTGTCTTCTACTGCTTTACTCTCAACTTGATCCCCATACCCTCATTTTTTCCTCAAGTAAATTACTCAGATAAATCAAATAGTCTTCTTGATGCTTCTCTACCCTTCTCCATTCCAGCTTGGCAGAGTGATGTTTTAAAAATGCATGTTTGCTCAAGTCATACTCTAAGTCATTCAGTGATCATCCATTGCAGTCATGGTAAAATCCAAGTTTCTTGTGTGACATATAAGACCAGTTGATAACAGTGCAGAAACAAGGAGACTTCACCTTGTCTCAACCATCTCTAAATAGAGGCTATACACTAGCAATAAAGAAAATCATCTTGCTCTCATTTTATTGTTTTGGCTTAAGCTTTTCTACTATATTTTCTTTTCACCTGGACCAAGTACTCTTTTGTTTTTAAGAGACTGGCGTGATCATAGCTCCTCCCACCTTAGCTTCCCAATAAATTTGAGGACTGCAGGCACATGCCACCACACCCGGCTAATTTGTTTTTATTTTAATAGTGATAGGCTCTCACTATGTTGCCCAGGCTGGTCTTGAACTCCTGGCCTCAAGCAGTCCTTCTGCACCATCCTCCAAAAGTGCTGGGATTACAGGCATGAGCCAGCATGCCCAGCCATTTTGTTTTTCTTACAGAGACAGGGTCTCACTCTGTTACCCAGGCTGGAGTGCAGTGGCATGATCATAGCTCACTGCAGCCTCGAACTCCTGGTCTCAAGTGATCTTCCTGCCTCAGCCTTCCAAGTAGCTAGGACTATAGGTGTGTGCCACCATGCTCAGCTGATTGACTGATTGAGATGGGGGTCTTGCTGTGTTACCCAGTCTAGTCTCAAACTCCTGACCTCAAGTGATCCTCCTGTCTCAGCCTCCCAAAGCATGAGTGAGCCATAGTACTCAGGGTCTACTTTTATTTTTTTTGAGATGGAGTCTCTCTGTGTCATCCAGGCTGGAGTGCAGTGGCGCAATCTTGGCTCACTGCAACCTGCACCTCCCAGGTTCAAGCAATTCTCCTGCCTCAGCGTCCTGAACAGATGGGACTACAGGCATGTGCCACTACACCTGGCTAATTTTTGTATTTTTAGTACAGATGGGGTTTCAACATGTTGGCCGGGCTGGACTTGAACTCCTGACCTCAGGTGATCCACCTGCCTTGGCCTTCCAAAATGCTGGGATTACAGGTGTGAGCTACCATGCCCGGCCCAGTCTCTACTATTTTAATACCTCTCCCTCCTTCCTGCTCTGCCTGATTTCCTACAGCAAAACTGTCCCTCCAGGAATCTACACAACTCCCATGCTGCATTCTTTTATCATGTGTTTGTCATTGTTTTATAATTAGCAGTTTATCTCTTTATGTTTTAATTTTTGTATCGCTAAGAACGTATTTAAATGTTTGCCGAATAAGTTAGTCCTTTTTTTTTGAGACGGAGTTTCACTCTGTCACCCAGGCTGGAGTACAGTGGCACGATCTTGGCTCACTGCAACCTCCCCCTCCTGGGTTCAAGCGATTCTCCTGCCTCAGCCTCCTGAGTCGCTGGGATTACAGGTGTGCACCACCATGCCTGGCTAATTTTTGTATTTTTAGTACAGACAGGGTTTCACCATGTTGGTCAGGCTGGTCTCGAACTCCCAACCTCAGGTGATCTGCCCGCCTCGGCCTCCCAAAGTGCTGAGTGTGAGCCACCACGGTTTAGATGCCATCCCTGTACCACCACCACCCCCTAACCGTGTTTCAAGTTGGTTGACCATGGACAAATGATTGGTAATTGACATTGTATAGAAAAGCAAACTTCTGATTTATTTGTTATTAGTTCACCACACTAAAAACTTAATTAGCCATCGGAGTTGCAATTACATGACTCCAAATTTAAGTTTCCTTTGAATATAGCCACATTAAACCAATTAAAAATCTGAAGTACATATTGAATGCCTTTAAAAATGAGAAAATGGACCTAATTGTTACACCCGGTTAGAAAAATACAGTATATTTGCCTTTCTGAACCGTACAGTAGAAACCTACAGTGGTTGCTTTATTAAGTGCTACCTCACCCTTAGAGGTATTAATGCTTCACAGGATTCTTGGCCCAGCTTTAAAAATGAATGATTCATTTTGATTCAGTAGGTATTTAGTAAGGACTAAGCATGAGCTACATACTTTTGTTCTCTAATTCTTTTAATGGAGGAATAATAATCACAAACATTTTTACATAAAAACAATTTAAAAAATATTGGGGCAGTAGATATATGGCCAGATAAGATTTTATTATTTTTCACTGAAAAGATGTATAAAATAAACTGTTTTGATATTCTAAACACTAGTTAAGTACATATGGTTTGAAGGAAATAATGAGAGGATGATTATTCTCTTATATTCTAATATCTATGTGGTCTGGAATAGATGTTCTTAACTTTTTGGGGGTCCTATACCCCCGATGATTTGAAAACATATACTTTCTGTTTTATAATTCACTTTAAAGTCCATATGAAAATGGTTTCGTAGAGCTTACAGAATAAATACTCCTTGGCGTAATGTCATCTTCCAACATTTCTAATGTTGGAAGTGTCCAATGTCTAATGTCTTGCGGTGTCCCAGTGCTTATTCCGAGTGTATTCAGGCTAATGGGAAAACAAACATCATGCAAACAACTCTAACATGATATATTGTACTGTAATCGTATTTTCAATAAAATTGTATACAACTACATAAAGAGGAGATTAATTATTACTAATGAGGTAGGTTTTTCTAAGGAATTGTTATTTGAGCTGAACCTTTAAGAATGAGGTAATGAAGTAGCATCAAGACTTTTGGCACAGCAACAAGGAACCTTTCCCTCCCCTGCCATTTGCTGAGTATTCTGATTGTACCTTTGATAGCAATTTCTGCCCTACTTTCTAGCTGTTTATGCATTTTTTTTCCTTATCATCTCTTGGAGGATTGAATTTTTCCAAGGCTTGGGTACATCTCATTCAATTTCATATGTGCATATATGTCCTATGTCTTGTACATATAAGCCACCTATTAAATGTTTGATGGGTTAAATCCAATTGAACATGAGTCCTTTCCTCCATAGCTTACGTGTTATTGTAGCTAAACGACTTCTGAATTGCCTACTGGAATAACTAGGAAGTAGACTAAGCCTTGAAAGGAAGGGCTTGGTTAAGTTGGTATCATATAAAATTTCAAATCCCTAATTTTTCTATATAATCATTAAAAGTAGAGGTAGGAAAAATGACATCACATTGTGGCGTCTAGAAGGAAAAACTTTGTGTCATGATAATATTTAGGCATTATCCCTTTACATAAAGTGCCTCAAGCAGTGATCCTGAATGAAACACTGCCTATGAGTCTAAATGGGTATCATAATCTCAAGGAAACCAAATCTATAGATTGGTTTTTTTCTACCCTATTGATAAAAAAAATTATATGTTTAGACATATGATCTGACAGAATGGCTTTTAGTAATGTTATTTGCTTTGAGTTTTTAAAACTGACTTCAGAAGAAATGCTATTGAGGCACAATAGCGATTTAAAAAGGGAATTGAGTGGAACATTATACCTATTATATCAAACTATTTTTATTGCTTTGGAAGAGAACTATTAAGGCAAAGGCAGTCATCATATTAAATATCTCAAAACTATTTTTCCCAATAGATTTTAATCATTTTATTGTTTTCTACCACTTTGTATGTCTTTATCATTTTTTAAGTATCATCAAATTTACTAATATACCCTGAAGAAAAACCTCCTGTACATTGGGGAAAAAGTAATCCTATTTCCTAATAGGAAAAGTGTAAGAAAATCTGAATGTAAAGATATGAAGCTACCCTGATAATTATTTTTAGTTTAACGAATAGAAATGCAAACAGGTTACTTTCAGTTGACCTTTTACCAATTCTCACTTAATATTTTTATACCCCAGAAAGTTCTATTTTATTATAAAGAAACTGGCTACAGCCTTTCACTATTATATGAAAGCTTAAAACGAACTCAGTTAAATCACACACTCTCACAAACAGCTTGGAACCTCGTTAATGCTACTGACAAAGACTAATTTTGTATTTAATATTGATCATTTATAACCCCTTGCTTGTTTTCCAGGGGATGTACGTATTTTTGCATGCAGTGAAAGGAACACCTTTCGAAACTCCTGACCAGGGTAAAGCAAGGCTCCTAACTCATTGGGAACAACTGGACTATGGAGTACAGTTTACATCTTCACGGAAGTTTTTCACAATTTCTCCAATAATTCTGTAAGTGGCAGAAATTTTTAGGTATGAGGAGGATTGGATAAGAGGAAGATATCTTTTCATCAGATTGAATTGGAATTAGAAACATATTTTGTTGCAAACTTCTATCAATAAGTAGCACCTCGGATAGAACATAAAATATAGACAAAATTTTTAACAAGTTGATAATAAACTAATTTTCACTTCAGTCAGTACATATACGGAGACAATATTACATGCTAATCAGTGCACCTAGACATTTAGGATATACAGGTCAAATGTATTCCAGCTCCCGTCCTTAGGTTTCATATAAGGACACAAAATACATAATCATATTCTATATTGCACTGTCAGATTAATCTCCTTAAGCAATGATTTAGATAATGAGAAGAATTTCACTGGCCACCTATCCTATTAAGATATTCAGACTCCTTGGGAAAGAGTATGGTTTCGAAAAAAGTAGGTCAGGCTTTCATTATAGGATAGACCTGGGTGGAGTCCTATATATATCACTCAGCCAGCTTGGTTTGCTCATATATAAAATTCTAGCTAGTGATACCTAATTCAATCCTAATGCTGTAAGAAATAAATGAGATAATAATCTACCTGGATAGCATGTAACCTGTATCTGGTATCTAATTTCTTTCTCCTATCTGATGTTCTGGGCCTTCCAGAAAATAGTTCTTACCTCCTTTTCCCTTGATGTAAATATTTTATCCCCACCCAACTCCTACCTGGCCTTCTAAGCAGCATTTCTTGAATATTTCATGTGTAGTCCTATTTCTGTCTTTGTTCAAATCAGTTCAAATCATATCTCCTACCTGAAATGCCTCCTCCTTTTTTCCCCAGCTTTACTGAGGTATAATTGACAAATAAAAAAATGTATATATGTTTTATTTTGTCTCTCCAAAGAATTTATAAGTGCATGGATTGCTTTGAATCCCACAGTAAGTACAGTGGCCTACACATAATAGAGGTATTGCTCATATATCTTAATACTCTGTACCATCTAGCCTATACATAATAATGTCCATGATAGAGTCAGTGCAGCCTGGCATAGCACAAAAGACTTCTTGGAGGTGTTGGAAATCCTTATGTTAGAACTTAAGAGAGACTAGGTTTTAGATATTTAAGTAAGGGAAGGCATTTTTAAAGTGAAAGGAATAAACTGATCATAAAATAATGGGGTTCTTTTTCCTTAATTTATAGCCCTTTGAGGAAATTTTGAATTGATTTAGTCCCATATAATATTAACCTCAAAGAAAAGTGTCAGTGTAGTCTGATAAAAATAAATGTAAGCTACATGGGAAGCTGAGGCAGGAAGATGGTTTGAGCCTAGGAGTTAAGAGGCTGCAGTGAGCTGTAGTCACACTGCTGTACTCCAGTCTGGGCAACAGAGCAAGACCCGATTTATTAAATAAATAAGTGAATGAATGCATGCATGCATGTAATAACAAAAATATTGGTTATTCAGATGGCCCTGAATTTGGATTTTGGCTCAACCCCTTTGAAGCTCTGTGACTTTTGGCCGTTTTCTTCAAAAGCTCAGTTTTCTCATCTGTAAAACATTGAGGATTGCATTATAATACATGTAAAATGCCTGACATTCAGAAGTTTTAATCACAGCTATCACACAAAAAGCCAACTGAGATGTACCTGTATACAGTGTCCATATTTCTCAAAATGTATTTTTGACCAACAGGTATGATTTCAAATATTCTGATTAAATTGCTTACTTAACTGAAGAAATAGCATTAAAGCCATCTATATAGCATTAGGACTTTTCAGTGCTTTCACATTTTCTTATTTGATTATTTGTCAGGTAGGTGTGACATGGAATGTTATTCCAGAATTTTTTTTTTTTTTGAGACAAGAGTCTTGCTCTGCTGCCCAGGCCGGAGTGCAGTGGCATAATCTTGGCTCACTGCAACCTCCGCCTCCCAGGTTCAAGCGATTCTCCTGCCTCAGCCTCCCCAGTAGCTGGGACTACAGGCGTGCACCACCGTGCCCAGCTACTTTTTGTATTTTTAGTAGAGATGGGGTTTCACCATGTTGACCAGGCTGGTCTTGAACTTCTCACCTCAGGTGATCCGCCTGCCTTGGCCTCCCAAAGTGCTGGGA
This sequence comes from Homo sapiens, assembly GCF_000001405.40. Lineage (NCBI taxonomy): Eukaryota > Metazoa > Chordata > Mammalia > Primates > Hominidae > Homo > Homo sapiens. Next base: position 189,773,467 of record NC_000002.12, on the reverse strand, counting down.
TTACAGGGTGAGCCACCATATTCCAGATTTTTAAGTAAAGAAACAGACTCAAATGCATTACCTTGTTGAAGATCTTGCACCTAGTTGGAGTTCAGAGCTCAGGTTAAACCCTAAACTACTATCTTGTAATACAGGTCTCTTTCCAATATAGCTGTTGGCAAATAAATGTTGTCACACTGAGTCCCACCTGGGTTTTGCATACCATCAGAGGATTGCCTAAGTTTTTGAAAGAGTCAAGTAATTTTCATATAATCTACACACAAAATTAGTTTTAATTAAAAGACAAAAAGGGGACATATGCTAGGTTATAGTCAAAAGAACCCATTATAAGATTTATTATTTCTAACCTATCAGATTATAGATTCAACCTGTAATGATGGTGGGAAATGAAATGAGTTTGCTAAATGCAAGTGATGTCCTATTTTGTTCAGTAAAGGAAGTATAAATTTAGTCTTCAAATATATGAAAACAGGAAGAAAGAATTTCAGAATTGAGGAATATGGTTTACACTAGAGAAAGAATTTTCTGACTGTAGTTTGCAAAATAGGTGGAAGATTGTAGAATTTCTCAATCTAGATGGTTTTAAAAATGTATAAAATTCTCTTGTGATGTTTTTTGTCATACTTGGAAGTAGCTCCTCTCTTCTAACCATGTTACACAAGATATTTATTTTCCCTTATGAGAAACTAATGTCAGTAAAGGCTATTAGAATACTTTCCTTGCGTACTGCAAAGACCTAAATAGAAACTAACTTCTTAATTATGAACAAATAAGATATGATGTTTTATTCTTTACATCTTATCTGTATTATTCTGTTAGTAATCAGATGATGTGTCTGCACCTTGATATGATATACCTGTAGGTAAAACTAAACATTCTGGACTTGGTGATTTATGATTTTAAAGGTGCTTTTTAGGCTTGGGGCTTGTTAAAACAAATTCTCAGTTGGATATCCAAAAACATACATGCATTTGATTATTAAAAAGCAGCTGGAATGGTACAACAGTGTCTTTCAGGTTACCGGTTAAACTGGTTATAGAGCTGCTCAACTACAGTATGAAAATGAGAACATCAAAAGGGCAACCAAATATTTATTTCCTTCAAAGATAGGAATTGTACTAATGCACTAAAACCCCATTTTTTGGAGCTTTACAGTACAGGTTCTTAACCTGTGAGTCACAAAACTTTTTGAGAATAAGATGAATGCTTTGAATCCATATCTTTTTCAGAAACATACATGGAAATACAGAACTACACCTGTAATTACAGAGGGCATATGAACCCTAGTTTGATAAGCCTTGCTTTAAAGGATGCAGTGTGTTCTATTAAATGTATTTAATACAATTGCAGAAATGGAAAATGTGGACCTCCATTAAACAAATTTTTTAGTTCCTAATGAGATAAACTTGGGACCAAACCGATTCCTCTTGTTTTAGTGCTCAAAAATAGTTTCATTTTTAGGTATTTATGCTTTAGTGGCCTTTTTTTCTACCTTTAAAATTGTTTAAGTTCCAAGTAATTTTATTTTTGGATGTTATATATATTCTTAACTTTTATCTCTACAGATATTTTCTGGCAAGTTTCTATACGAAGTATGATCCAACTCACTTCATCCTAAACACAGCTTCTCTCCTGAGTGTACTAATTCCCAAAATGCCACAACTACATGGTGTTCGGATCTTTGGAATTAATAAGTATTGAAATGTTTTGAAACTGAAAAAAAATTTTACAGCTACTGAATTTCTTATAAGGAAGGAGTGGTTAGTAAACTGCACTGTTTCTGTGATAATGTGAAATGAGAAGTATTTACATTGGAGGGCCAATGGCTGGTCCTTCAAGTGCTGTTTTGAAGTGCAGATTTCCATTAAATGATGCCTCTGTTTAATACACCTGGTACATTTCTGAAGAGGGGCTTTATAAGCAGGCTGGGCAGGCCCAGCTTATAAGTTAAAGGGCATCACAGTGAGGGTGTAGTAGATAAATTCAAGGAAATAAGAGATTTGTAAGAAACTAGGACCAGCTTAACTTATAATGAATGGGCATTGTGTTAAGAAAAGAACATTTCCAGTCATTCAGCTGTGGTTATTTAAAGCAGACTTACATGTAAACCGGAATCCTCTCTATACAAGTTTATTAAAGATTATTTTTATTACCGTACATATTTCTCGTTTTATGTAAGCGGATGTATATCCTCTTGTTTTATACAAGCCAGTTCCCACTTATGAGGGTACTTTTTTGGTTTTGCTGGCTTAATATTGTGTATTGGTCAATGAGGCCATTTTTACATTTATTACGTTACAGAGTTCATGGAGGTTCACCTTTGTGACTGATTGGTGATAAAAGATAGCCAAGTGTCTTACAAGCAGCTTCTGAGTCAAGTGTTCTAATTTTGGAACAAAGCAGGTTTTACTGCTTTTCCAGACACAAGGCTGCTAAACCAATTAAGAAAATAATTAATTTCTTTCAAGCAACTAAAAAATATATGGTAATTTAAAGGTGTCTGCTTATTTGGTTGAACAATTTAATTGGGAAAGTTTGTCATCATTTGAAAAAGGAAATATAAAAGGAACAACCATATAGCCAACCTGTGGTCTGGCAGAAACAACGTCTCTAGCAATAGTACCAAAGTAAGTAATGGAGTCTTTTTTTTGGCAGGTCTGCAGTAAAAGATAACATTTTCTTTTCTTAGTCCTCCTGCTCTCAACCCCCATATTTTGCCTTTGAATACGTGGGTTTTAGTATATATAGCCCAAAATGGTAACTGTCTCCAGAACAGCAACCACATTGAATTCTTGTGACTTAGGAAAGCTTCTTATAGTTGCTGACATTAATTGCAAGAAATAACTATATACTACTTTGAGAAGTAAACATGTCAAAAAAAACAAAGTTCAGATATGGGACAAAATTTAAAAATTCAGTAACATTTATAAACAGAATTGAATGAAAAGAGTTACAGACCAACTTAAACATCAATTCGTGTCAGTAAACTGACTTTTGGGGGTAATGATCATTGTTTTGTATCTCAAAAGTATTGAGTTTAGAAATCAGTTGTATGATACTACCTTTGTATGTCTGTCTTTTCCCGTGTATTTTTAAATAACTGGTGATCTATAATTTAATAAAATTTTTCGTTGGTGTAATATTATTTCAAAAGCCCTCCAAATTTAGTCATCAAAATTAAAATGACATTTTTCAAGTTTATTTTTAAGCAACTGAATTCGTAAAATTAAAGTAACAAAAAGCATTCATTTTTCTTTATTTTAAAGTTCCTCTCAAAAGGCTTACATTTTTTTAACATACTTCAGAGATAGAAGTCTCCCTCTTAGACATGCTTTCTTCACTGCTTTCTCCCGTCAATGTTTTAAAAATATTTACTCAGTAGATATTTGAAGGGCCCACTCTGTAACAGGAATTATGTTAGGTATTGAGGATAGTTTGTAGACAAGAAAAACCAACTCCCTTCCCTTTGGTGCCTACATTCCAGTTTAAAACAAAATCTAAAAATGACTATTACTTGGAACAAAATAAATTGCCATGCCATAAATGCTCCTGACTTCAAGTCAGGAGACATAATGGCAATTTCTAAGGAGTCATGAGCTTAGAAATGCCACAAATTTTAGCATTCATTGGTGGATCTTTCTTGCAGCAATTACTATTGTGGAGTTCTAGTGATGATTTTCTGTTTCCCTTATTCTATAATTATTTATTAGAATCTTTTTATAAGGAAGATTTGTCCCTTCTTTATTTACTTATTAAATCACTTATACTCTGGGCTTATGGATATTTCATTCTTTGGGTTATAATCCATTATTATGATTTGTTGCTCAAATTGTCCTCCAGCTTTGACCATTAGGAGCTCTTACAAGCTGACTGCTGTGTCCCTTTGACCTGCCCCCATCCTTTTTCTAGGTTTATGGTGTTATTGTCTATTGAATTATAAAGATCCTAAGAGGCATAATAATATCTCCTTCACTAATACCTATATGAATTAGCTTATAGAGCTATATGAGGCTAAGTTAGAGAAGCCCTTAGACACCATGTAATTCAACCCCCTGCCTTAACTTTTTTTTTTTGAGATGGCTGGAGCCGGGTTTTTTTTGTCGCCCAGGCTGGAGTGCAGTGGCGTGATCCCGGCTCACTGCAACTTCTGCCTCCTGTGTTCAAGCAATTCTCCTGCCTCAGCCTCCTGAGTAGCTGGGATTATGGGCGTGCACCACCATGCCCAGCTAATTTTGTATTTTTAGTAGAGATGGGATTTCACCATGTTGGTCAGGCTGGTCTCAAACTCCTGACCTCAAGTGATCTGCCCGCTTCAACCTCATGTTGGTCAGGCTGGGATTACAGGCATGAGCCAACATGCCGGGCCCCCTACCTTAGCTTGAATCTTTATTAATTACCACCCTTCCATTTAGTTCTGTTTTAATAATAATATTAATAGAAGAGGACTTATAAGACAGTATATTCTATTTTTGTAATAGAATTTACAATTTGTTGTATATCGAGTCAAAAATCTAATCTTTACATAACTCTTCAAGTATTTAAAGATAACTTTTAAATTGGTGTCAACAGCATGGAATAAATATTACTAGAGCCTTCACCATTTTCCATATGATATGGTTTCAGATTTCTCCCACTATCCTGGTAATTCTGCTCTAAGTTCCAGTTTATTACTTATTATATAGCACAAGAGTTAAATACAAGAGGTGATCAGATATGCTGTGAAAGAGTACCACTTCCCCTGTTCTGGATGCTTTTTTTTAATGCTGCCTAATACCACTTTAGTTTTTTATTTTGACAACCACATATCACTGATTCACTTTATGTCACTAAAACCTTAAATCTTCAATATGTAGTGCTGTTAAATTATGGCTTACCCTTCACATATGAAATTGATTTATTAAACCAAACTCTTAAGACATTTTTCCTATAGAACTCCATCTTGTTAGATTTTAGTTTATTGATTCATCTTGTCTAGCTAAAGCTGAATCTTGATTTTCATGCAGTATATTTCTCCTGTGTCTTCTATATCATATATGTCATCAGTAAGTATCACCCAAAAATAGCCTCATGCTAGTCATGAAGAACACAAATGGAGTAACCCAGTGTCAACCAGTGCAATTTAATAGTCTTTCTAACAGGATAGACAGAAAAGAGTAATTCCTAAAACAATAACATGGATAGTACATGTCGATGTGAGCAATGTGAACAAGTTCAGTACTGAAAAGACCTATCTAGGTAAAATACCCTAAAAGGAGGTTTGGAGTAGTGCAGCGCAGGGAAGGGGAAGGTAAGTAGAATAGCAGAGATAAACTCTCCTTTGTTGTGTCAAAAAGAAAAGAATGAGATGTATCACATTTTTATTTTACTGCCTAATTTCAGTTCCAGGTAAAAAAGATCCAGTGATGTAGCAAGTAGTTTGTTATGTTGGGTTTAAAAATTTTCATATAGCTACAAATGAATGCATGAGAATTATAAGCATCAAAGTCAGAATCCTGAATGTATCAAGTATATAGGACACAGGGCTTCAACTGTATTGGATGATTTTATCTCAAGTTGAATGTTGGCCTCACAGAAGTTGTTTATAGTATTTAATTTTTTCAAAATCTGAAATATTTCATAATTAGAAAAATAGTAAAAAAAGTTGGGTTTTCAGTGTAGCACTGTAATTTATTTCATTTCTTGACTAATTATTCAAGCCCTTGATAAACAATGGTTATGGGATGACTTACGTGTAGCTCTCAAGTTCTAAATAATGTTAAGTTTAGCAGATAAGGCAGTTTATCACAGTGTCCGTTCACTCAGACAGCATAAGTATGTGTTGATAAAATAATCTTAAATACAAGAACTTTAGTAAAGAAATAAGCCACTTCATTAACATTGTAAAATAGTTTTAAGATATAAAGTATGAAAGGAATTTTACAGTGTATAAATTTTCTGACTTTCCAATTAGCAATTATAAATTTTTATTGACAATCTTATTTTGAAAACCCCGGAGTTTTCAAATATTCTGCATTTATGTTGACCATTTTACCAAGATGATAAAACATGCATTATTTTCTCCATTTTATAATTTTTACAGGGGGAACAGCGAAGCCAGATGATTTATTAGTTATTGCCGGTGAAAATACAGAGATCCTTTGAAACATTTGTCTCTCCTAGAATTCTCATCAAACCATATGCTTCTAACACAGCACTTAACAGTCATGGGGAGTATGTGGGAATAACAGAGACTCGCTTCCCTGCCAAAACCACACATAGACCCACACACTTGAAAAATAAGGAAATAAGATCATCTGAGTATGGAGATTCCTCAAAAATTAAAATTATATCCAGCAATTCCACTTCCGGGTATATACCCAAAAGAAGTAAAAGCAGGAACTTGGACAGATAATTTGTACATCTATGTTCACAGCAGCAGCATTCACAATAGCCAGAAGGTGGAAGCAATCCAAGTGTCCATCAAGGGATGAATGGTTAAAAGAAATGTGACATATACACACAATGGAATATTACTCAGCCTTAAAAAGGAGGAAACTTCTGATATATATTACATCTTGGATGAATCTTGAAGACTTTATGATAGGTGAAATAAGTCAGTCACAAAATGACAAATACTGTGTTACCCCACTTTTATGAACTCCTAGAATAATCAAATTTAAAGTGGAATGGTGGTTGCCAAGGGCTGGAAGGCAGAAGGAATGGGAGCTTATTGGTTCTTGTTTTTGTTTTGTTTTTTTTTTTTTGAGACGGGAGTCTCCTTCTGTTGCCTAGGCTGGAGTGCAGTGGTGCAATCCCAGCTCACTGCAACGTCTGCCTCCCAGGTTCAAGTGATTCTCATGCCTCAGCCTCCCACGTAGCTGGGATTACAGGCATTCATCACCACAACCAGCTAATTTTTGTATTCTTAGTAGAGATGGCCATCATGTTGGCCAGGCTGGTCTCGAACTCCTGACTCCAGGTAATCCGCCCACCTCAGCCTCCCAAAGTGCTGGGATTACAGGCGCGAGCCACTGTGCCCGGCTGGGAGCTTATTGTTTAATGGGTACAGAATTTCAGTTTGAGAAGATGAAAAGGTTCTGGAGCTAGATGGTAGTCATAGTTGCATAGCAATGTGAATGTACTTAGTTCCTTTGAACTTAAAAATGGTCAAAATGGTAAATTGTTATGTAAATTCTACCACAATAAAGTTCAGAAAAGTTAATTTGTAAAATAAGCATAATGGTTCAGCAAACAAAACCCAAAATATCTTCCAAAGACCTGATTGACAGTATTACCACTAATGAAAGAACGTTCCACATCAAGAGATACTGGTCAGCAAAGAAAATTTAAGAGGAGAAAGGATGGGCTGGGCGTGGTGGCTCACGCCTGTAATCCCAGCACTTTGGGAGGCCGAGGCAGGTGGATCACGAGGTCAAGAGATGGAGACCATCCTGGCCAACATGGTGAAACCCCGTCTCTACTAAAAATACAAAAATTAGCTGGGCGTGGTGGCGTGCACCTGTAGTCCCAGCTACTCAGGAGGCTGGGGCAGGAGAATCGCTTGAACCCGGGAGGCAGAGGTTGTAGTGAGCCAACCTCACACCAATTGCAATCCAGACGTCGTCTCAAAAAAAAAAAAAAAAAAAAAATGGAGAAAGTAAAATGGCAATGTATTTTTAGCACTAGCCAAGTCAAAGAATGTAAGACAATGTGACTCAAGTGGAAAGGGCTGCATCAGGCTTGAAATACTAGCCATTAAAAGCACCACACACATTTCTATTGTTTCTGTTCTGTATTTACCAAGCAATCTTCTGATTATAATTTGGATTTAGCCTTCATTGTAATTTGGTCAATACAAGGAAGATAATGACCAGCAAACTCAACTATCCTAGCTTCCCCATAATTGTGTTTCTCATAAATAATACATTAGTATTAATGGCTTTTACACAGCATTTTATTAGCAGTTTGTGGTGGGTAACTCAGTACTCCAGAGTCCAGTCACTTCCAGACCTGATAAACCAATTTCAAGCCTATAAAAGAATCAGATATTGAAACTCAAGTAATCACACTATGGGCCTGCCAGGCTGGCATACATCTGTGGCACGCCAATGTGGCTTTTCCCAAGCAATACCCCTCTCTGAATGCAGTTTCCATTCACATTTCCATAATTCTGTACTGCATTTTGTCTTCTGCCTGTAGACTCAGATTCTTGAGAACAGAGAATGGACCTTATCTGTATCCTTATACTAATAAAGTTCCTAGCATAAAGGAAATAACCCAATAAATATGTAACAAATGAAAATAAAACCTAACCTAGTAGGACATAATTAGGAAATAAATATTGAAAAATAGGATTTGGGCCAGGCGTGGTGGCTCATGCCTGTAATCCCAGCACTTTGGGAAGCTGAGGCAGGTGGATCACGAGGTCAGGAGTTCAAAACCAGCCTGGCCAACATAGTGAAATGTCATCTCTACTAAAAATACAAAAATTAACTGGGAATGGTGGCAGGCACCTGTAGTCCCAGCTACTCGGAAGGCTGAGGCAGGAGAATCGCTTGAACCCCGGAGGTGGAGGTTGTAGTGAGCTGAGATGGCACCACTGCACTCCAGCCTGGCAACAGAGTGAGACTCCATCTAAAAAAAAAAAGAAAGATTCTTATATGTTTTAATATATAATATGTATTAATAATAAAATTTTCCTCTGAAGGCTACAAATGGAAAGCTAGACACACAATATCTGAGACCAAATAAGCATATCTAGATTCAGCTGGAACTCTCGATTTATGTTGAACTTACATAGGCCATATTTTTTGAGAATGCCCATGAGTGGCATTCTAACTATCTGCATAAAAGTACAGACAGGCCTCAGAGAGCATACATGCCTTTCCCCCAATAACCCTCTCCTATGTTACAATAGAGAACATAAAAAATGTATATCTTTGCTAAATACATGGGACTTGTATAAGTGCCACTTTACATATATTCGGTCAAGGGAAAGATAAAATTCCATACTAATGTGCCCTAGAGTTCTCCTGTTTCACATAATAACAGCATTCGGACTCAACACTGGCCAAGAGTGCCTAGACGAGGAATCTACCAATGATAGCACACACAATAGGATCTTGCTTGTCTTGACAGCACAGAAGAGCATTGGGATATACTTGCTGAACATAATTGGAATTGTAAGAAAAATAATACCTGATGTGAAAGGTTTTATGTTCAAACTGGATTCCAGTGTATAACAGAAATAAGCTCTGACCTCTCTAACCGTATGACTAATTTTTCTTAACTTTTAGGTTTTAATTTTTCTTTTTTCCCTTGTTTAGGCCAACAGTGCACCCTAGAGAAAATGTGAGTTATTTTCTCTTCTAGCAGTTAAGAAAACAGACTCCAGTGCCAGATGTCCTGACTTCTAATCCTAGCTTTGCTTTTCCTAGTTGTGTGACCTCCAAAGCACCCAAACTCTGTGGCCCAGTTGCCTGTAAAATGAGGACAGAAACTATTTCATGGGATTTTGAAAGAAATTAATCTACAGCAGGTGCCTGGTACATAGTGCCACTTTATCATTATTGTTACACATAAATGAAATTTTTGAAAAACATAAGTTCCAAATAAAAAACCTCAACCATATTCTGGTAATTATTTACTTATTTATCTGTATCCACCTCTAGACTGTACTCTGTGGCTTCCCAACATGTTGTTATGGGATTTACTCATCTTTTATACCCAGAGCTTCACAACGTGCAAAGTGCAGGTATATATGCCAGCCCTGTACAACAGTGGATTCTAAGGTCCTTGCTTACTAAAATCTTAAATACCAGCAGGGGAAAAGCCTGACTCTTGGAATAAATCTGTCCAATGTTCAAAACAAAGTTCACAAACCAATAAAAGAAAAAAAAAAAAAAAAGCAGGTGCAAGACTTTGAAAACATACCATGCTGAATTTCATGTACATAGTAAGGAAGGACAACATAATGCATTATGAAAATAGGATGGTTTAAGGCAACTGAATATTTACCACAGCCTTTTTTTTTTTTTTTTTTTTTTTTTTGAGACAGAGTCTCGCTCTGTAGCTCAGGCTGGAGTGCAGTGGCGCGATCTCGGCTCACTGCTACCTCCGCCTCCCGGGTCCCAGTTCAAGCAGTTCTCCTGCCTCAGTCTCCCGATTTTTTTTTTTTTTAATTGTAAAAATAAGCCAGCCCCTTTCTTCCTAGTGAAGTGGGAGAAACGGTTTACACTGTCCGATGAGAAACACTTCCGTTCTTTGGTAACCCTGCTAGGGGGCGCCGCTAGATTCCATCCTATTTCTCCGATGAAAGTATCAGGTACCTCACCCCTAAGTTTAGATTTGATGATAGTTCCCTTAAAAATGAATGACGAATAATCTACCCCATCCTTTTCTCACAGTAGCAACCAAATTCCAGCCAAGGGCAAAAAAAAAATTTCTTTTTAATGTAGCTTAGTGTTTGGAACTTGATGTTGTGTAGTCAGACAAACCTGTATTCGGCCTCCGCTGGATCAGTCACTAGCTGTGTAATTTTACAGAACTCTCATCACCTGCAAATCTGGGGGAAATGCAGGTGCGCACAGAGAGCGTTTTGGGCAAAGACGGCCTTTAAGCTTTTCTTCACTAAGCATGCCGCTCGCTAGCGGAACAGCAGCCAGCTCTGGACGGGACCTTGCACAGTTCCGATGACATCACTTCCGGGCGCCAGGTTCGGGCTTTCTCCTGCAGCGATAAGGGCAGTCGACAGTCTTTAGTAGGGAAAGGAGACAAGTGCTAGCTACTGCCGCCCAAGTGGAAGGTGGGTGAAATTGCTCACTCTTCACCCCACTGACGCTTTTGCGCACCTGGAAAAGCGGTTCCAGTTTGCGCCCGTCGCCGCCTTACAGCCGACAGGAGACCAGCGCTACCCAAGTCACGTGGGTTCAGCCTGCAGCTTTCTTGGCCCGAAAGGGTAGTGCTTCGTACAATCCTCCTTGTCCAGATTTTGTTAATGCAAATCTAATTCCTCTAGGTTGTGTCTGTCTGGGCTGCACTGCCCGCAACTGCCTTCTGCAAATAGGTCGCTCATCTCTAATCCCTGGGATGCCGTGTCCCTTTAGTGTGGTGGAGAAAGGCCCTGCTTTAACACCCAGAAAGTTTTAGAACGGATGATCTGGGGGCATAAAATTAGGTGCTTCGCAGTGTGAAAATACTAGTGTGCTTTAGTGATGGGCTGCTATTATTTTGGGGGAAAAGGATTTGGGAAGATCCTTGTTATGACAAAACCTGTAGCAAAAAGTGGAGATTTAATTCCAAAGATTGCAATTAAGGATAAAATAGGTGTTAGGTTGCAGTTGGCGTGTGTGTGTTTATGTTAACTCTTGTTTTTGAACCAAATGATCCAGTTTTATTTTGAAAGATGTTTTTAGGAGATGGAATACATTAACAGTATTTTTATCTGTTCCATCTGCCTTTGTTGTTTGATTCTTTTTAGAAAATCCACATTTTGTCTTAATTTTAGCTGTCAAAAAATAAATAGCACTTTTCAGAGGACTCTATCAATTATTGTACTTTATATTAGCTGTCTTAATAGTAAGTCTTTTGGTAGGAACAGCATGCAAGTAATAATAATACTAAAAAATTTTATATCTGACCCCTGTTTTCCCCCTTGGAGAACATTATATTCATTCATAATATTATTTATATTCCCATGTTGCTATAGCCTTTACAAACTTTTGGTGACTTTTACAAACTTTCCTGTAATTCTGTAAAACTATATATTGAAAAATAAGCTGGCTAATGTCAGTTGCAAATAATAAGTTGTTTCTGTAATTCTTTTTCAGGAATTATCTATAGAGTAAGTATGCTAATCTTGACTAAGACTGCAGGAGTTTTTTTTAAACCATCAAAAAGGAAAGTTTATGAATTTTTAAGAAGTTTTAATTTTCATCCTGGAACACTATTTCTTCATAAAATAGTATTGGGAATTGAAACTAGTTGTGATGATACAGCAGCTGCTGTGGTGGATGAAACTGGAAATGTGTTGGGAGAAGCAATACATTCCCAAACTGAAGTTCATTTAAAGTAAGTAGACATTATCTTAGTCATTTCCACTTTTTTGGAAAAAGTAAAATCATTCTTTTGTATTTGTCATATATAAAAGTTTTCAGGAGCTACTGTCTTATTCCTTTTTGCAAACACTTTTAATAACTGCTATAGAAAACCTCAAACACTTCATCCTGGCTTTTAAGGGTCTTCACAATAAGGTCCCAACCTTAACTAATCCTGTTGCCAAAAGAAACTGAGCTCATTCCCAGCTTCCGTATTTATTGATTTTCCTTCAGTAATGCATTCCTTCTTTTCTCCACTTCTATGTTTCATGGTCTCAGCTGAAGTCCTAGGAAAACTGTTAGTCATTGAAAAAAAAAATCCTATTCATATTTATACATATAACTTGTATTAGTACTTAAATAATAATACACTGTTGTATTAAAGCATAGAATGGTGCAAGGATTATAAACTGTGATGTTTATAGAGGACTACCAGGCAGGTTACCTAAATAAATGGACAAGATAAAAAGTGGAAAATGTCTGGAGGAGGTCACTACTCAGCTCTAGCCAGTTGTCATGTGGGAATGCAGGACCTGTGTTATTAGATTATTATAATTTTCAAGGGAAAATGGAAATCCAGATTTTTTTTTTCTTTTTTTTTGGTGAGACAGAGTCTCACTCTGTCACCAGGCTGGAGTGCAGTGGCATGATCTCGGCTCACTGCAATCTCCGCCTCTCGAGTTCAAACGATTCCCCTGTCTCAGCCTCCCAAGTAGCTGGGATTACAGGCACGTGCCACCACGCCCAGCTGATTTTTTGCATTTTAGTAGAGACGGGGTTTCACCATGTTGGCCAGGATGGTCTCAATCTCCTGACCTCTTGATCCACCTACCTCGGCCTCCCAAAGTGCAGGGATTACAGGCGTGAGACACCGCGCCGGGCTGGAAATCCAGATTGTTAATGTATTTGCAGATTTTTTACATTAGTAGCTAATTTAGAATATATTAAAATACTCTTGGGAGGTGGGGGGCGCCCCCGCCCAGCAGCCGCCCCGTCTGGGAGGTGGGGGCGCCTCTGCCCGGCAGCCGCCCCGTCTTAGGGGTGGGGGCCCCTCCGCCTGGCCGCCACCTCTGGGAAGTGAGGAGCCCCTCTGCCCGGCTGCCACCCCGTCTGGGAGGTGTACCCAACAGTTCATTGAGAACGGGCCATGATGACAATGGCGGTTTTGTCGAATAGAAAAGGGGGAAATGTGGGGAAAAGAAAGAGAGATCAGATTGTTAATATGTCTGTGTAGAAAGAAGTAGACATAGGAGACTCCATTTTGTTCTATACTAAGAAAAATCCTTCTGCCTTGGGATGCTGTTGATCTATAACCTTACCCCCAACCCCGTGCTCTCTGAAACATGTGCTGTGTCAACTCAGGGTTAAATGGATTAAGGGCGGTGCAAGATGTGCTTTGTTAGACAGATGCTTGAAGGCAGCATACTCGTTAAGAGTCATCACCACTCCCTAATCTCAAGTACCCAGGGACATAAACACTGCAGAAGGCCGCAGAGTCCTCTGCCTAGGAAAACCAGAGACCTTTGTTCACATGTTTATCTGCTGACCTTCTCTCCACTATTGTCCTATGGCCCTGCCAAATCCCCCTCTCCGAGAAACACCCAAGAATGATCAATAAATACTAAAAAAATAAATAAATAAATAAATAAGAATAAAATACTCTACAGATGAGTATACCTTTAAGCTATCAATTTACAACATCTGAATAGTGAAAAAGCCTGGTATTTTGGAATCACAGTCCTGTATTTGAATCCTGAATTAAGCACTTGGTATTGGCTCTGTAACTGTAGGCAAGTTCCATATCCTCTCTGATTCTGTTTTCACATCAGTAAAATAGGAAAATTGGCTGGGCGCTGTGGCTCACGCCTGTAATCGCATCACTTTGGGAGGCCGAGGCAAGTGGACCATGAGGTCAGGAGATTGAGACCATCCTGGCTAACATGGTGAAACCCCATCTCTACTAAAAATACAAAAAAAATTAGCCAGGCGTGGTGGCGGACGCCTGTAGTCGCAGCTACTTGGGAGGCTGAGGCAGGAGAATGGCGTGAACCCGGGAGGCGGAGCTTGCAGTGAGCAGAGATCGCGCCATTGGACTCCAGCCCGGGCGACAGAGTGAGAGTCTGTCTCAAAAAAAAAAAAAGGAAAATTAACATCTGCCTCATAGAATTACGGGAGGGTGGCATTAGAAATAATGTATGTAAAGAGGCAGATTGAGCCTCAAACAATAACTATGTGAAAGGGACTGTGTTGGATATTAGTAAGGCACTGTGAAGTACTGCAAAGTCCTTGGTTTAAGGAAGCTTAACTTGATTATGGAGACATGATGTCTAGACCTACAAGGAGAATTAATAGTGCAAGGCAGCATAGCATAAGGAAAAACAAGTGGTGCAGACAGTAACTATTATTACCGTGCCTCAGCTTCACAGTCCTTTCAGTTTTTCCTGAGTGCACTGAACTTTTGAACATGTAAAAGTTAATGGCACAGAAAGGACTACCCTGACCACTTTATCTAAATTAGGTACTCCCATCCTATTTATTCTGTATCATCATACCCTGCATATTTTCTTTGTAATACTTTCACAATTTATACATTTGCTTGTGTATGTATAATCTCTCTCAGTAGAGTCTAAGTGCCAAGGTGACAGGGGCCATGTCTATATTAATCACTATGCTATGCCTAGTGCCTAACACAATGTTTGACACATCACAGGTGTTCAGTGGCCTTTCGTTAGGCCTTCAGTGAATGGAGATGGAAAGAATATTATAACCTGTGTTAGTTCATTCTTGCACTGCTATAACGAAATACCTGAGACTGGGTAATTTATAAAGAAAAGAGGTTTAATTGGTTCGTGTTTCCACAGGCTGTGTAGGAAGCGTGGCAGCATCTGCTTCTGGGGAGGCCCAGGGAGCTTTTACTCATGGCGGAAGGCAAATTGGGAGTAGGCGTCTTACATGGCAGGAGCAGGACCGAGAGAGGGGGGGTGAGGTGCTACACACTTTTTTTTTTCTTTTGAGATGGAGTTTTGCTCTTGTTGCCCAGACCAGAGTGCAATGGTGCAATCTTGGCTCATCACAACCTCCGCCTCCCGGGTTCAAGCGATTCTCCCCCCTCAGCCTTCAGAATAGCTGGGATTATAGGCATGCGCCACCATGCCCAGCTAATTTTGTATTTTTAGTAGAGATGGGGTTTCTCCATGTTGGTCAGGCTGTCTCGAACTCCCGACCTCAAGTGATCCACCCACCTCGGCCTCCCAAAGTGATGGGATTACAGGCGTGAACCACCACTCCCGGCCCACACTTTTAAACAACAAGATCTCATGAGAACTCATTGACTATCGCGACACAGTACCAAGGGGAAAATACGCCCCCATGATGTAGTCATCTCCCACCAGGCCCCATCTTCAACATTGGGAATTACCATTCTACATGAGATTTGGGCAGGGACACAGATCCAAACCATATCACTAAGTGAGCATTGTCAGCAAAGACAAAGAAGTGAGAAAGTACTAGACATTCAGTTTAGCTAGAGCATAGGTCACTTGAGGAGACTACTGGGCAAACAGGCTTCAGTGATACCATCCACCTGGCTCATCTCAGCATTTTTTGAATACCTATAGCTGCCAGGCAATACTTAGGGCATTTGGGATACAAATATAAATGAGACATATGACTCTTGCCTTTGAACAGCTCACCATATAAGTGGGTTAGAGTGTAGGCTTATATTCTGGTTCAGCCATTTACTAGGCTTATATTCTGGTTCAACCATTTACTACATTTGATACTGTGCACAGTTTTTTGTGCCTCAGTTTCCTTATCTGTAAAATGATAATAATGACCACTAACTCAAATTAATGTTGTGAATATTAAGTGTGAATTCCTTTAAAGCTTTTAGGGCATTCTTCTTGAATAGCAAGGGCTGAATACAAGCTAGCTCTTAGTAACAATAGTAGTTCTACTACTACCATCAGTAAAAATGAAGAAGACAGTAAGCAGATCATTGTGAAACAGCATGGAAAATGCAATAATAGAGGATTACTTGGCAGGAGGAGTCCCTTCTTCCAAGCCAGAAACCTGAAGGACACCCTTGACTTCTCCCTCACCATTCCACATCCAAATCAGTCATCCATTCATAGTAAATCCATCTCCCAAATATTTTTTGCAACTTTCCTCTCCCTTCTCACTGACTGAGTTCAATCCCTTATTGTCTTTTGCACAGACTCTTGGCTATAGCTTCAAGCCTCAGTGGTTTCCCTGCCTCTTTGTTAGCTTTGTTCCATAATCCACACTCCATACTGTCTACAAATCATAGACAAAAATACATTGTTATTATTAATTCTTTGAGAATAAAGCCATGTTCTTATTTGGCCCTAGTGTTTAGCATAATCCCTGGAAGATAAAATACACAGAAAAGGCATAGAAAGGAAAGGAGGGAGGCAAGACAGAGAAGGAAGAAATGAGTTGCAGGGAGAGAATTTGGATTTGATGTCTCCCAAATTCCATGAAACTAAAGGTTTTGAGTAGGGGAATAACTGGTAGCATGTGCTTTAGAGTATTCTCTGGCAGCAATATAGGATGGGCTCTAAGGATCAAAGGACAGAGTTAGGAAAGTACAATTAGAAGACTGTTGAACAGACTGAGATGAGGGCTTTTGAGACTTGGCAGTGGGAGTGGTGATAAACTTAAATGCGGAGAGTGAGGGAGAGAAAGGAAGTAAAGATGAACTTTGAAACCCAAGGGTTATTTGATGCCACTAACAAAGATGAGGAATATAAGAGAAAAAGTAGCTTTGAAGAATTAAGGAAAATTATATTACAATGTGGATGTGTTGAAATCAGATCATTTCATTTATATCCCCCTCATTGCCTGAAACAATATTTTAATTACTCAGCAAATATTCATTGAATGCACTTACTGAGGATTTTCATTTCTACACATAGAACTAGTAGATCTTGCAACATCAAATATTGGAAGATGATTTTTTTTTGAAACTAGCAGTGCGTTTTGCAGACTCTATTTTATTGCTCCAGTTCTCATATTGTAAATCAATCACATGGTAGCAAATTTGTTGCTAGCAAATTTGTCTCTTAGTTCTTTACACTTGATATTTGGAGTGGCCATCCACCATCCTACATGGACCAAAAATCCAAATTACAAACTCTGAGCACCAGATTCCCAAACTGTATTTCAGGATTGCAAGCTATCTGCTATCCTGCTGTGACCTCAAGTGGAATGTGTTTTAAAATAAACTCGTCGTCTTTATAAAACTGTCTTCATGTTTCTCTTTTAGAATTTCTTTTCTCCCGGTCATTCCAGCTGAATAGCTGAACAAACTTTGATGCCTTAGTCCCCCTGTCCCTTTATATTCAGTTAGTTATTATAGTTCTTAAGGTTCTCTGTCCCTTTCTTTCCATTCCCACAATCGCCCAGTTTAAGATATAATCATTTTACACAAATACTTTCGCAGTAATCTCTCTTAAAATCTTCTGTCAGCAAGGAAATTAATTTTCCTTAAATACAATTTTTTCCTGTCCTTCCCATGCTCAAAACTTGTATGGAATGCTTTACAAGATTATTTTGGTGATTTCATTTGTCAACAAACAAATCCATGGGAGTCTGTTGTGCATAAACTGAAAAAGTCAGAAACATTATCCCCTTAATTACTGCTTACTGAGTTTTAACCATAGTGTGCTATGTTAGAAGGCACACAATTAGAAAATACTTGACTTACTCAGCTATATAATGATTAACTTGAAGACATGCTTTTAGCTGTAATATCATTTTTCTTCATTTTTACAATCTTAAAACTACAAAATGCTGTCTTTCTTTCTTTCAGAACAGGTGGGATTGTTCCTCCAGCAGCTCAACAGCTTCACAGAGAAAATATTCAACGAATAGTACAAGAAGCTCTTTCTGCCAGTGGAGTCTCTCCAAGTGACCTCTCAGCAATTGCAACTACCATAAAACCAGGACTTGCTTTAAGCCTGGGAGTGGGCTTATCATTTAGCTTACAGCTGGTAGGACAGTTAAAAAAGCCATTCATTCCCATTCATCATATGGAGGCTCATGCACTTACTATTAGGTTGACCAATAAAGTAGAATTTCCTTTTTTAGTTCTTTTGATTTCTGGAGGTCACTGTCTGTTGGCATTAGTTCAAGGAGTTTCAGATTTTCTGCTTCTTGGAAAGTCTTTGGACATAGCACCAGGTGACATGCTTGACAAGGTAATTAAGAATTAATTTCTCCATTCTTTTTTGTTATGTTGTCCATTTCAACTAAGTAGCAATAGATGTGCTACCACCATTCACCTAAATATTTCTGAATTTTATCTTAGTAAACTGAAAAAAATTCACATATGGTGAGAAAAAATAGAAAGAGTAGTACACAATTTTATAATTCTTAGCCTTTCTTAATAAAATGGTAAGAGGTTCATATCTGTACATAAAGGCTGAAATAGTTTGCAGATACAGTTATGTATTTTGCCAAATAATGTATGTGAAAGAACGTGCTTCGTAAACTAACATACTGCAAAAAAGGTAAAATAAGAGAATATATATAGATTAACATAAGGACATTAAAGATGCAATGCACAGAATTAAATCACACAATTACTTACACCACAGACAGGGTCCCCCCCCACCCCCCTTTGTTTTAGAATACTACAGAGGCTACTGCCATATATAGGAAAACAAACAAACAAACAAACAAAACACTGCTTCCCACAGTGAAATAATAGGAAGTATAGGACAAGTTCTTATTATTGACGTTCATCATTAAGCAGTTATTGTCAACTTCAAGCCCATTTTCCAACCAATAGAAGAGCAAACATAGACAGGGGCAGTGATTGGCCTCTTATTGTTCGGGTCATCATAAGGAACAGGGTTGTCTGCTTACCTGAATATCAGCTATAGTCTATATTTGCCAAAGTATAGCATGTTTTATTCATTCAGGGGTTTTTTGTTTTGTTAGTAATTTTCAATTTATTTCCTTTGCATCTTTTCGTTTCACAGTATTTAATTTTATGACTCTAAAAAATATGTTTCTTTGATAGGTGGCAAGAAGACTTTCTTTAATAAAACATCCAGAGTGCTCCACCATGAGTGGTGGGAAAGCCATAGAACATTTGGCCAAACAAGGAAATAGATTTCATTTTGACATCAAACCTCCCTTGCATCATGCTAAAAATTGTGATTTTTCTTTTACTGGACTTCAACACGTTACTGATAAAATAATAATGAAAAAGGAAAAAGAGGAAGGTATATTTCTAATTAGTAAAGTTGAACAGATAAATATTCCTGGATTGTGCCTAAAAATAGCTGCTCATTTCTGCAGGTATTGAGAAGGGGCAAATCCTGTCTTCAGCAGCAGACATTGCTGCCACAGTACAGCACACAATGGCATGTCATCTTGTGAAAAGAACACATCGGGCTATTCTGTTTTGTAAGCAGAGAGACTTGTTACCTCAAAATAATGCAGTACTGGTAAGTTTTATCTCATTTTATAGTAATAGTTACACTTTGCAATATGTTACTTTTTTCCCAAGACCTTGACCTTGTGTTTAGGATGAACAGATCTTTATGCCTTATGCTAGCCCTGACAGTATGAAATTATGCAGGATAGGAAAGACTAACAGCCATTTCTTGTACTAGTTTGGTAGCTTTATGGGACAGCTGTATAGCTTCTATGGCACATAAGTCTAATTTTGCATCTTCTTGTTGGATTTAAAAGAGGGCTTACAATAAAGAAAGTAAATGCAGTAACTGCTATCACTATTTTTAGAAAAATAGGTGGATTTCCTTCATCCTTTGATGAAATCCCTTTGTTTGTTTGTTTTTTTAATAAGCCAGTCAAATTTAGCAGTGGGAGGTGGTATACCAACTTTCGTGACACTAATGTTGATAAAGTTCTGATAATCCACTATATTGTACCAGCCAAAATCCCTTTAATTGTGCTTAAAAGCCTTGACAAACATCCTGTTTAACTGTATCTTAAACTTTATTCATTTAAAAATTATAAACTAAAGTGGGAAAATGTTTAAATGGTAGTAATTCATAGATGGAATTTTACATGGATATCAAAGAATAATTTTTTCAGAGTTATGTAGTAAAATGCACAAAATAATAAAAATTTCAGGGTCTAAAATAGTGTACTATGATTGAAATTATATTAAATAAATATTTAGATGAAAGGTTGGAAGAAAATATACAAAAATGCTAGTAATGTTTGTATGCTATTAGAATTATTAGTAATTTTTTTCTTTCCAAATTTTTATTACATAGATATGTCATCTGCCCATTACCCATCTCAAAATGGGATAGTTTATTATTGTTTAATGCTGATATTTTTCTCCAGGTTTAATTAGCAGCTTGGTTCATATCCATATATGATAGTTATTTTGGTTTTCTCAATTCCTTCAGGTTGCATCTGGTGGTGTCGCAAGTAACTTCTATATCCGCAGAGCTCTGGAAATTTTAACAAATGCAACACAGTGCACTTTGTTGTGTCCTCCTCCCAGACTATGCACTGATAATGGCATTATGATTGCATGGTAAGCCACAGGATATACGTGCTTCACTCATAACTATGTAAATATTAATTGCCATTTTATCATACTAAGCCTTCTTCCTTCAGATCTTGGAGCTATTGATTTTATTTTAATGCTTCTTATTTAGGAATGGTATTGAAAGACTACGTGCTGGCTTGGGCATTTTACATGACATAGAAGGCATCCGCTATGAACCAAAGTATGTGGTATCATTCATGATCTTTATGCAAGTTACATTACTTAAGACAAAGCCTGGATTTTGCCTTTATATATGAGGTTTTCATTGACATTCTGGTGGTACTTGAAGGAAAGTTACATAAATTTCTTTCATGAACCTAGTTAAGGTTGATACCATATGAGAAATATTTTTGCTACAGTATCAAATTATAAAAATCTTGGCAAGTTTAGGTGAGTTAGAAACAGGTCATGAGTAAGGGTGATGAATTCCCTCCTTTGGAACTAGAATGTAAACTATGTCCATGACCTGGACTTTTGCAATGTCAAGAACATCTCAGAACCAGCAAGTATGCTGGGAAATTTAAGGAAAACATGCAGAAAGCATTCAGGTGTGAGAGTGGGTTGTGATTATGCTCTTACACAGGCAGTTGAGAATTGGCCGAAAGATAGCTGTTTCCTGCAAGCCTTATTTCCTCTCCCAAATCAAAGTTCCAGTGAATAGCACAGTTTTTTCTTTACTTTTTTTCTTTTTTTTTTTAGAGTCTTAGTGTCACCCAGGCTAGAGTGCAGTGGCGCATTCTCGGCTCACTGCAACCTCTGCTTCCCATATTCAAGTGATTGTCATGCCTCAGCCTCCTGAGTAGCTGGAATTACAGGTTCACACAGCTGTGCCCAGCTCATTTTTTGTATTTTTAGTTTTTGGGTTTTGCCACATTGGCCAGGCTGGTCTCGAACTCCAGGCCTCAAGTGATCCACCCACCTCGGCCTCCCAAAATGCTGGGATGACAGGTGTGAGCCACCACACCTGGCTGGTTTTTCAAATTACTATCAAATTCTGTTTTAATTCTGGAATAGTAAAAGACAATTATTTTCATAAATAATTATATTTTGAACACTGTTTCATCTGATGTTTTAAAACTTGTCAGCATTGGCCAGGCATGGTGGCTCATGCCTGTAATCCCAGCACTTTGGGAGGCTGAGGTGGGCAGATCATCTGAGGTTAGGAGTTCGAGACCAGCCTGGCCAACATGGTGAAACCCCGTCTCTACTGAAAATACAAAAATTAGCCAGGCGTAGTGGCAGGCACCTGTAATCGCAGCTACTCGGGAGGCTGAGGCAGGAGAATTGCCTGAATCCTCGAGGTGGAGGTTACAGTAAGCCGAGATCACGCCACTGCACTCCAGCCCGGGTGACAGAGTGAGACTCCATCTCAAAAAAAAAAAAAAAAAACACAACTTGTCAGCATTATATTCCGTAACTTGACAGTTGTGCTATATATGAATTACATGTATGCTGATGATGAATGAACTGAATTGAGTTAGTAGTACCGGAAGGCATCCCTTTGATACCTTGTCTCAGATAGAGTATATCCTCTGATTCAGTTATGCCCCCTTGTGGCAGTGTTGAGGCTGGAGATAATGGCTTTTTCCAGGTTGGGATTCAGTCAAAGCAAAGCCTTATCTTGGACACCATGGTAGAAAAGCAGAAATCTGAAGCAAAAATTAGTTACTGAGGAGGAACAGAAAAAGACAGCAGGAACTAAGACCTCTTTGGCTAGTAATGGCAAAGGATGGTAGAAAAGGGGCAAGGCAGCTTTTGAAACTTCAGAGAAGAACCTATAGAAACCTAGGACATTTCTAAAATGTGAATGGATACAGGTTTGACTTTAGCTGTGTGGCAAAAATGTTTTTACCTTTTTAGCTTTGTAGAGAATTATAAGATATTTTTCATTATTTTTATATTTCATTTTATGTTTTTAACTTATTTACAGTATTTGAGAACAGCAAAACTGTTTCTTTCAAAAATATCTCAAAATTTAGATTTCTTATTAATGAGACTAGCTTTCATTATCCTGACTTGAGGTCCCAGTATATTTGTAAGTATTTAAGAATCATCACCACATATGATGAATTAAATATTTGATATTTATACCATCAGAATTCTAAGCAAATAGTCTGCAGAACTAGTGATGGATCATGAAGCAAATAAATAATACGATTTGTCTGCTTATGATGTAGATGTCCTCTTGGAGTAGACATATCAAAAGAAGTTGGAGAAGCTTCCATAAAAGTACCACAATTAAAAATGGAGATATGATTTCTGCTGTTCAAAAAAGTCCCTAAAGGTAGTATTAAGGTTAAAATTAAGTTTTTATTGTTTTGTGTATCAAATTGTAGAAGATATATAATATTAATTATTCATCAAGATTTTATTTTTTTTTTTCTATTTGATGTTTTACCTGCTCTTCTGAGATACTATAATGTGTTAAAAGTCTTACAAGGGAAGATAGTTTTTTTCTTTTAATTATTAAAAACCAAAATAAAACATCTTTTGAGAAAGGAATGTATTGATGCTGGCAGGTAGAAAGGAAGCTTTGAAAGAAGCACAGTAATTTTGCTGAATTCTGGCCCTGTATCATACAGGCCTAGGACTTTCCCCCACTTCCTCAAATCAGGATAGGAGAAGCTATTTTTTAACTCCTACTGAAACAAGAACCTGACTTTATAATGAGAGAGCAGTTTAATTTTTTTTTATCATTATTATTTTTTGGAGATAATCTCCCTCTGTCACCCAGGCTGGATTGCAGTGGCGTGATCTCAGCTTACTGCATGCAACCTCTACCTTCTGGGTTCAAGCGATTCTCCTGCTTCAGCCTCCTGAGTAGCTGGGACTACAGGAGCCCACCACCACGTCTGGCTAATTTTTTGTTTTTTTAGTAGAGATGGGGTTTCACCATGTTGCCCAGGGTGGTCTTGAACTCCTGAGCTCAGGCAATCTGCCTGCCTCAGCCTCCCAAAATGCTGGGATTACAGATGTGCTCAAGAGAGCAATTTTAGATCAGTCATGTCAAAGCAGACATTTCCAAATCAAGACAAAAGCTGACTTTCTCTAACATAATATGTTATTAATTTTAAGAGTTCGTTATTAGGTATCATCTCTGGAGTAAATAGGATGTCTATGCATTTTTTAAAATCTATATAATTTGAGGTTTTACAATTTTAACATATAAGTAATCCCTCAAGTATGTATTGTACGCTTTAGTTGTCCACATACTTTCACATCAGTTATTTGAGAAATTGTATATAATCAGATGGAAATAAATGAGGGAGTTTTTTTGGATTTTTTTTTAATCCAAACTTTGTACTGCAAATATTATAAGCTTATCACTGTTTTTCTGCCTTGATTAAAGTAACTAAATGTACAATTCTTTGAATGTAACCCTCTATATCTGGAGGCCTTTCTCATACATAATTTTTTATTTCGATTTTTATAGACAGCATCTTGCTATGTTGCCCAGGCTGGAGTAGAACTCCTAGGCTCATGTAATCCTCCAACTTCAGCCTCCAGGGCCTGACTTTTCACACATTGTTTAAAAAAAAAAAAACCGTGGAGTAATAAAAATAATCTTTTTTTTTTTTTTTTTTTTTTTAGACAGAGTCTCGCTCTGTTGTCCAGACTGGAGTGCAATGGCTCGATCTCGGCTCACTGCAACCTCCGTCTGCCAGGTTCAAGCAATTCTCCTGTCTCAGCCTCCCGAGTAGCTGGGACTACAGGCAAGCACCACCATGCCCAGCTCATTTTTTGTATTTTTAGTAGAGATGGGGTTTCACCATGCTGGCTAGGCTGGTCTCGAACTCCTGACCATGTGATCCACCCGCCTTGGCCTCCCAAAGTGCTGGGATTACAGGTGTGAGCCATCATGCCCAGCCAATAAAAATAATCTTTATAGGGGAGATTTATAGGAGAAGTAGTATAAATTTTAGGAGTGGTAGGATGGTCTGGCTAGGCCAAGATACTCAGGAAATATCTGGCATTGAATGCAAAGAAACTCTGATAACCTGAAAATAGTCCTAAAGTATAGTCTTGAGCCTACCTGAAACCAGTTTCAGAGCTCAAAAGTTGCTCTCTAAAGGCTTTTAAAAATATCTACAGAAACTTAATATTTCCATTGTTATAAATTCTTATCCTTAATGGTGCTGGATAACACAATTCATCACTTGAATATGTATCCCTTTCTAGTATAAAATAGACCATTTCCCTCCGCATTTCCTATATTTCAGTCAATCCACCAGAAAGTTGTGACTCAGCACCATTAAGATAATTTAGAAGTAAATATGAAGATTAAAGAGGTCTCTTATTTTTTAGTGGTTAAGAACACAAACTTTGCATGGTAGCTCATCCTAATGCTTTGGGAGGCCAAGGGAGGAGGATCACTTGAGGCCAGGAATTCGGGACCAGCCTGGGCAACATAGCAGAGACCTCAGCTTCCTGAGTAGCTAGGGCTACACGCCTGTACCACCACACTCAGCATAACAAAGACTGAGAACCTGTAGCCCTAGCCACTCAGGAGGCTGAGGTGGGATGATTGCTTTGAACCCAGGAGTTATAGGCTACAGTGAGCTATGATTGCACTATTGCCGTCCAACCTGGGTAACAGAGCAAGACCCTGTCTTAAACAGACAAATAAATAAATAATAATTCATTCACCCACTCACTCACCCACTGACTTTGGACTCTAGCACATAGAAAGCCCTAAGTACATATCGGGGAAAATAACCGCTAATTAATATATACTTTCAATGCTTACTGCAGCCCAGGTAGAGAATGGATTATAGCAAGACCCTCAGACTGTATGGAGGCAATTCAGCAAGTGGATGGAGAAAAGGGGAGCTTTAAAGTACACAGTGAAGCCAGGCGCAGTGGCTCATACCTGTAATCCCAGCACTTTGGGAGGCCAAGGTAGGCGGATCACCTGATGTCAGGAGTTCAAGACCAGCCTGGCCAACATGGTGAAACCTCATCTCTACTAAAAATACAAAAATTAGCCAGGTGTGGTGGCAGGCGCCTGTAACCGCAGCTACTCAAGAGGCTGAGGCAGGAGAATTGCCTGAACCCAGGAGGCGGAGTGAGCCAAGATCCTGCCACTGCACTCCAGCCTGGGTGACAGAGCAAGACTCCATCTCGAATAAATAAATAAATAAGTAAGTAAGTAAAATAAAGTACACAGTGAAGCCAGGTGTTTGTATCATATCTATCTGCAGCTATAAAATAGGAGAAGCAGACATTGCTATTTGAGCAAAGACATCATATGGTTCTAAGCCACAAAGACTATTACCCTTTCCAGTTGCAAACCAAAGACACTATAAATATGGAGAATGAGCAACACTGTTAGCCACAAAAGCCATACTCATGTACTTGATGGGCAATGATTTCAGATTTTATTTTTAAATAAAACTTTTTTTCCCTTTTAAAAAATTTTTGTTTTATTTTCTTTTTTAATTTTTCTTTTCTGCTTCATCCACTGACTCTCAGACTTTTTTTTTTTTTTTTTTTTTGAGACAGGGTCTCACTCTCTGACCTCAGCTGGAGTACAGTAGCCAGATCACAACTCACTGCAACCCTGACTTCCTGAACTCAAGCAATCCTCCTGCCTTAGCCTCTTGAATAGCCGGGACTACAGGTGTGCATGTCCATGCCCAGCCAACTTTATTTCTATTTTTTGTAGAGACAGGCTCTTGCCATGTTGCCCGGGCTGGTCCTGAACTGCTGAATTCAAGTGATCCTCCCACCTTGGCCTCCAGAAGTGCTGGGATTATGGGTGTGAGCCACCATGCCTAGCCAAAATGTTTCTTAAGGTATACATTTTGGGTCTTAGAAGACTTATACATTTGTAATATTTATTACTAAATATCTCAAAGTATTACAATAAATGTTACCATGTGAGCTACTTTGAATCAGGCTTCTTGCACACCAATTTAAAAATGTTAACTCTTGATATATACACTAGTTATACCACTCATGTCAGTCAATAAATTTTAAGGTTTAAGTGCAGGCCTTTGTTTACAGAAATCCTAATTTTTTGAAACCATAACTCTGACCTGACACTAAATTCCTGTAGACATGCTAAGGAAAATCTGCTTAGTATCGAGATCAAGAACTTTCATTCAAAAAGATTATTCAGTTATGTTATTTGCATATTACCATTATTAAAAATAAAAAAATTTTTAAAAGATGGCTCAGGAATCCTTTCATTCTAAAATGTTTTATTAGCCTTCTGCAGGCTCTGGGTTGGCTTTCTGGACATGTTTCCCAAGTTGGTTCAAACACACTATTCTTGGTCTTGATACATTTGTGATATCTGATGTAATTGTAGATGAAAAAGAAAAAATATTATGGGAATCCTTGGTCTTTTTTGTTGCTTTGAAGAGTCCCATGAAGTTAGTTACAGGAGGTAATAAAGTCAAAGAATCTTTTGGTTGAATTTTAGGTTTTAATTTTCTTCGGTGCTCCTTCCCTAAAAATTAGCCACAATTAAATGTCTCTCCTGAGAGCCCTAGGTATAGTCTCATTACTTCTACTTCTATGTAGTTCTATTTTCTTTACATAACTAAAACATACTAAGAGAACAGATCAGTACTTCCAGACATTTAGATGTCAGGGGCCAAAAATTTGTGGGGACCACTATATGGTTTGCTAGCTTGTTATGTCAAGTTAGCACCAATAAGAGAACGAATACTACTTTAAATATCATTATGTAAAATAAAGAATATTTTAATACTAAAAAAAGTGTAAAAGGCATTATCTCAAAATGATGGACTTGATATTGAATGAAATTAATTTTATCAGAAACGTGCTACCTTGCCCTTATTTTTTCTTATGTTACTACAAACCTGTGAAAACTTCATCAGATCATGACTGATAAACAGGTTGTTGTTTAGAAACCAGTGTTAAAGTGAAGAGTGAACTGACTATTCTTTTATGTAAATTACTCTAACATTCAAGAAGCTATATAAAAAATGGATGCTTTTCTACCCATGATATTCTATATATATTTCTATATAGCCTCCCCACATACCTAGCTTCCCTCATATACTGGCTGAATACATGAAATTGTTTCCTCTCCTTTTACTGTCTTTTTAAATTCTCTTCCTTTCTGTTTGTGACTCTAGCAAACTGATCTTGACTTCTGAATGTTTCTATCCTTGATTTTCGTGATAGGACAACGTATCAAGACTGATTTTGGTCCTACACGAACAAGCACTAAGCAGATATGTGAAATTAACAAGTAATTTATATTCCCTATTACATATCTAATAGGAAGGGATAAATAATATGAGATCTGGACTCTGATCTCTGCAGATCTAGTCCATTCAAGTGTAATGTACCAACTATGTACAAAACTATATAGAGTATCAATGGAAAAAATGTGGTCTCTGCCCTGAGAATTCAGATAGGTAAGTTGTTTCAGATATAAAACAGCAAAGTCATATTTACAGGTTGTTTAAATAATGACTTACTTCTATGCATGGTTTGAGAAAAGCAAAATAAGACAGGAGTCACTTTCAAGTGATATAATAGGGAAGGCCTTACAGAAAATGATCAATATGGGCTTGTAATTAGGAAGATATTTTAGGTAGACAGAATTACAAAAGAGAAGTATGCAGGTAAACTTTTTTGTGGGGGTACCCTCTACTTTTTTTTTTGAGACAGAGTCTCACTCTGTCACCCAGGCCAGAGTGCAGTGGTGCGATCTCAGCTGACTGCAGCCTCTGCCTCCCAGGTTCAAGCGATTCTCCTGCCTCAGCCTCCCAAGTAGCTGGGATTACAGGCACGCGCCACCATGCCTGGCTAATTTTTGTATTATTAGTAGTAGTAGTAGTAGTAGTAGTAGTAGTAGTAGTAGAGATGGGGTTTCACCATATTGGCTAGGCTGATGTTGAACTCCTGACCTCAAGTGATCTGCCCACCTCGGCCTCCCAAAGTGCTGGGATTACAGGCATGAGCCACTGTGCCCGGCCTACATTTTGAATTTTTAGAGATGGAATACAGAATTATAAAGTGTCTGGGCTAGAAGGTACTTCATAGATAAAAGAAAAATCAATTACCTCTTTTAAAGATAGGAATTATGGATGGTCCTCCATTCTTCTCCAGACTAAAAGGAAAACATTTTTGTCATTAAAATAAATGAAGACATAATGCACCCAGAAAAAATATATGAAGAAGTATATGAAGACTTACAGTACCAGGTTTAATGCCTAATGGCCTAATTCATACATGTTACCTCCACTAACTCTGCATGTTATCTGTAAGTATTTTATATTCAGTCACTCATTTACTCACTTATTTACTCCAAACATTTGGAACATTAAATCTGCTTGAAGTGATGAGGGAAGGTGTTACAGAAGAGACACTTCAGCTGGGTTTTGAAGAAGATAGGTCTGAGAAAGGGGTATATTTTTCTAATTCCTACAAAGTCGTCACATGGGCTAGCTGTGGGAGTGACTGTGTAAAATACTACTTACATTATTTATCTTAATTCCTTGAACCAATGAAAATTATTTAGAATTATCAATTATAATGTTACAATTTAGCTTCCCTGGCTTATAAAATTAGGTCACCCATTTTAGACTTTCGGCTTTTCAAAGAATTAAAGTGGCTCCAAAGATGTACTCATCATTCTCTGTACTTAAAATTGATGTAGAATCTATGTTTGTACATGGGTCCTATTCGGATGCACTATTGGATCCTATTCTCTTCCGTTATCATAGAGTTAACGTATCTTGAGTAGTTCTATTTCCTATGTATGAATATCACTACTTGGAGAGAAGACTTGTAATTCAGCTACATTTACAGAAGAGAAAATATACCCATAGTAGAGATTCTCTTCTCCTCCCTTTTTGGGGGGAGTTAAGTTTGTGATGAAACCACAACATTGAGTCAAAATCCTCTGAATACCTGGCAAACTTCACTGTAACTAACCACTAAGTCTAATTTAGCCCTGTTTCCACCCTGGGAATTTGGCCTAGCTTTGGATCTGGTCCGGAAAACCCATTTGATGCTAAGGTCAGGTGGTGGTCTTGTCTCAGAACTCTCAAATGTATCCCTAGTCTGCTAAAAAGTGACTTCTTGAATCAGATGTTGTGGTAACCAGTCTCCCCAAAACTTTCTAAAATGTGAATAATCCTGGCCAGAGAGGATCTCTAAGATCTAGATGTGTTCTTGTCTGCACCCACAACTCTGGTGCTGAGTTGGAATTAAAACAGGTTGTGGCAGTGGTCATTTAGAATAAAGTTTATCCTCTGCTATACAGGAGATATGTTCATATCAAGAATAGTTCCTCTTGTTGGATCTTACTAAACCTCATTAAAGTCTCCTCTATCGATGATTTCACTACTGCAACTTCTAACATAGGACCATACCTTAAGGAAGGAAGTCCCACCAGTGTTTGTTGCATTTGAAATTCCTTTAAAAATGCTGGGTTAATACTTGCATCTCTGCTGATATTATTTTTTATACGAATGAACTGATTAGGTTTATTCCTGCATTCTTTTAATAGGATGCGGAAAGCATTTGCATTGTATGTTAAGTAGCCAAGAGCAGAGGAACAAGCTGCACGAACCTAAATGAAGAAACAATTCTTTCTTAACCAGTGGGCTTTGTTCTTAAAATATCTTAATGTTCTAATTAGCTATTTCATAGGAAAGTCTCTGTAAGGGAGGGAGCAAGTGTAAGCAAATATGTATGCAAACAAATGGCAGTGTATAGACGGAAGCTTAACTGCCATATTTTTACAGAGAGCTGTCAACTGCCATTGATTTCTAGTGGTTGTTCTCAGTCTTAACTGCATTTTAGAACCACCTGGAGTGTTTAAAAAAAAAAAAGCCCACCAACTAAATCAGAATCCTTTCAGGGGTGTGTGTGTGTGTGTGTGTGTGTGTGTGTGTGTGTGTGTGTGTGTGTGTGTGTGTGTGTGTGTGTGTGTGTGTGTCAGGTAATTCTAGTGTGTGTGTGTGTGTGTGTGTGTGTGTCAGGTAATTCTAATGTGTGTGTGTGTGTGTGTCAGGTAATTCTAATGTGCCACCAAAGAAAGAACTTGAGTTTGAACTAAGGTAGTGGATGCAACCCTGACAATGCATTAGCATCACCCATATAACTTTGACAATTATGCCTGGGTTCCATCCCTAGAAACTCTTATTTAATTATTTTGTTTATCATTCTCAAAGGAGTAGGAACAGACACTTTGGAGAATAGCTAAGTGGTACACATAGGAAAGCTGAACTCTTGGTAACAGAAATCTTAGAGAAAGCAACTTATTTATTTATTTATTACTTTAAAAAAATTTTTTTTTAACATTCAGACGTTACAAGAGCAACTCACTTTTCCACTGGCAAAAACAGAAAGAAGCACAAGTGTCAGGCCACAGGACTCTAGAAAAAATAGTTCTTTGAAGAAAATACCCTCTGTCTATGACCCATAGATTGGTCATATGATTAATTAAAGTATGTTCCTGGCCAGTTGTAGGGAATATGATAGTAGCATAAAAAGTTTCATAGAATGAACATATTGGTCTTTATGTTGGCATCCGGTTGCTCTGTATGCTCATATGTCTTCTAAACCTTGAACCCTGGACCTGTAGTTCAGCTGCTGGGAACTTGTTCGAAATGCAAATTCTAGGGCCCACCTCAAATGTATTGGCTCAGAAACTCTAGGAATGGGGCCAAGCAATATAACAGGCCCTCCAGGTGATTCTGATATACCCTAAAGGTGGAGTAACACTGCTTTAGACCTTAGTGGAAGAGAGTAGGGGAACACTCAGAGGCAAGCCACTGCTGTGACCAGCACGGCCTCTTTCACACACCCTTACATCTAACCCTGCTTGACACATAAGGAAAGCTATCCTATGAATTCCATTTTCATTCATTTCAAATCATAGAAATAACTTAGATCAGAGTCACCGGTTTTCATTAGATACTTAGTAAACAATTATAAGTTTCTTTGTCATCAACGTACTTATAGATTGACTCTTAATTCCAGGATTAAGATGACTTATTTTGTAGGGTTTTGTTTTTGTTTTTTAAATCAGAAACTAATTTGAACAGGTAGTTCTTTTTAAATCTTTAATTGTAGTCGTTTTATACTGCTTTTGTGATTAAAATCCTAATTTTAAGTCTTAG
Organism: Homo sapiens; assembly: GCF_000001405.40. NCBI lineage: Eukaryota > Metazoa > Chordata > Mammalia > Primates > Hominidae > Homo > Homo sapiens. Next base: position 189,741,719 of record NC_000002.12, on the reverse strand, counting down.
GGTTAAAACAAATGTATATTTTTATAGGAATTAAAATTGTGGATGGCAGATATGTATGACTAATTAGTATTAGAAAAGTCATGTAATTTTGAGTTAGTAACAAGAACTATATTATATATATAACACAGTCATGTAATTTTGAGTTAGTAATAAGAATTATATTATATCTATAACACAGTCAATCAGTGGAAAAATTAGTCCACAGAGGGAGAGGTAAATTATATTTTTAGCATATTTAATTTTAGAATTAGTTTTTGCTTGTTTTTACCTCTTCTATTCCCGAGTACAAATGATAGCAGAGCCGTTGGATTGTTCCTAATGTGGTAAATGCTTCTGGGATACCAGCTCTAGAATGAGCCAGGCTTGCTATTAAATTCCCTATAAATTAAACAAGAAAAATGCTTGTGTTATTTAATTGATATAAACTTATAATACTTTCATTAATTGCACATAGCACTGAAAAAAGTTTGTGTCACAAGACATCTCTGTCAATGAAGCAGCACTGAGAAAAAGCATGCATATGTAAATATAGAATAAACTCCCCAAAATTACAGTTTGGTTTTCTGTCACAAATAGTGTAAATTAAATAGGTTTATGTAAGGGTGAAAAATTTGAAAATTAGAGGTTTTCTTTCTCCCATATCTTCAGAATATATTTTGTTTTGAAGTTTTTAGGGTTTTAAAAATAACTATGAACATAATGATTTAATTATCATAAGAAAATTTAGGCCGGGCGTGGTGGCCCACACCTGTAATTCCAGCCCTTTGGGAGACCGAGGTGGGCAGATCACCTGACTTCGGGAGTTCGTGACCAGCCTGACCAACATGGAGAAACCCCATCTCTACTAAAAATACAAAAATTAGCCGGGCGTGGTGGTACATGCCTGTAATCCCAGCTACTCGGGAGGCTGAGGCAGGAGAATCGCTTGTACCTGGGAGGCAGAGGTTGCAGTGAGCAGAGATCGTGCCATTGCACTACAGCCTGGGCAACAAGAGCGAAACTCCGTCTCAAAAAAAAAAAATTAATATGTCCTTTTTGCGGTTGAAATGGCTTTGAGTTAAGCCTTATTAATACTTTAAAATCAATCAATGTATTGCTTATTGAGGTTTAAAAATCACTGAAGTTTTTACATAAAAGTAAATGTTTTCAGATTTAAAATAATAAAGTGTCCCAATAATTAAATGTGCAGCTAGCAACTGAATATTATTTCATTTATATTTGTTTGAAGATAAAAATGTATTTTCATATTTCTGTGTGGAGTATGTGGATACTTTATTGAGATATGACGTGAGTTTTTGTTCTCCTTATATTTTTGTCTGGCCTCTATTATAAGCCAAGAAATTCCTTGTGTTTATTGCCTCCGAATGGGGAAAATTGGTTGTATCATCTAAAGCAAAAATTGTCTAAAGGTAAGCTCTATTTAAAGTTAAAAAGACCCTTTAAAGATGGGAAGTTAGAAATGGAAACAGACCAAGGGAGCAGCTAAGAAAGAGAACTAAAGTTTATAGTTCTCAAAGGAGTAGAAGGAGGAACTCCGAGTAGAGAATAGCTAAGTGGTATAAATAGGAAAACTGAATTCTTGGTAACAGAAATCAGTTTCCTAAAAACTTCTGTGCCTTTGGAGCATCTTCTGGAAACCATGTCAACTTGACACCAAGCACATCAGTTATTTTACACTATACCTGAGGCCTGAATATCAAGCTTTGCCTGAGATACCCTGGACATGCATATGACTGGTTGTGGAGTGCAGAGAAAGTCCAGTAATTTCTGAGATTCATTTCTCCTCATCCTGGAGGAATTAATTTAATATTTGAAAGCCAATGTAATATGGCATTTCTTTCCTATAAGAGTTTGTGGAGGCCAGGTGTGGTGGCTCATACCTGTAATCCCAGCACTTTGAGAGGCCGAGGCGGGCGGATCATGAGGTCAAGAGATCGAGACCATCCTGGCCAACATGGTGAAACCCCATCTCTACTAAAAATACAAAAACTAGCTGGCCTTGGTGGTGCATGCTTGTAGTCCCAGCTACTCGGGAGGCTGAGGCAGGAGAATCGCTTGAACCTGGGAGGCGGAGGTTACAGTGAGCTAAGATCGCACCACTGCACTCCAGCCTGGCAATAGAGTGAGACTCCATCTCAAAAAAAAAAAAAACTGTGGAGTCTAAACCCACTACAGTTGTTTTTCAGAGTCACAGAATTACTATAACATTGAATTAATAATGTTATTTAGATTAAAACATATTTAATAACTTCTTTAAACTTTTTTTCTAGCTAGTTTCCATCAGAAAGTTTTCATTGCTTCATTTTTCCTTCCTTGCCATGCACATATACTTCATAAACATGTAATTCTATGGCATCAAGTAAAGTTTCCTTTAGTGATACATTTTAATTAAAAAACAAATACTTATTTGTTTATATTGGTAGTAGTCACTGCATATTACTCATTCTGACCCTGCCTTATGTTACTTTAAGAGTGGCATAACAAGTCAATTAAATATTACTGATCACCTATTATGTGTGAGCTGTTGGGTTAGGTCTGCAGTAGACACAGTTATACAATAGCAATAAATGTGTTGAGAACGCTATGGGACCATCTTGCTTTGCTTTGTTGCACAGCGATGTAAAGAACTTTTCAGTGTTAGCAAAATGTGCACAACTGGACAAAAGGAAACCAGACAGAGGTACATCTGTGTAAATCTGCCACCACTATTATAAATCAGTTTTTTTATTTTGCTGTTTGTAGGTCATAGGTGAATTCTCATTTATATCTTGGAAAAAAAAGTTAAGGGTTTGAAAAAGTAATTAGGAAAGCAAAAAGTCTGTATTCAGAGTTACTCAGCTTCTGTTTGGGGTACAGAGTAGACACCCATTGTTTCGTGTAGACTTGCTGTGGAGTTCCATGTAGATATAAACATAAGTTCGTTCTTTAAACTTGTGGCAGTGTATCAGGCGTATTATTTTATTATTATTCAGATTACAATAAACTGTTTTTGAAAATAGTTTTATGTGGCTAAAATTAACTTCTAGTCATTTCTTACCTGTCAAGACAATAGTAGAAGTCTGAACTGAATACAGACTATCAACTAAAATAGTAACACCTCTTGCAGACAAAGTAATATGGTCCATATCTCTAATGACTTTAGCCAGTACAACAATCTGAAAACAGAAAAGAAGCAGAGAGTCTTTGAACATTTTCTACTCAGCTTCTCTAATTACACGTTTGTCATTTTTTATGTTTTTTTTTTAATTCTTTTGATACTTCTTAAAGGGAGTGTTTAGAGGATTCAATAGAAGCAGCATGTGGTGGTGGGGAGAGTTAGAGTATTTGTCCCTGTCTGGTCATAGCAGTGATCATAGGGGGTACTATTATTCTTCCTACAATGTTTGCAACTTTTGCACCCTTTCAATATGGGTTCATAGAAATTACTTCTCTTAAAGGGCACAGGATAGAAAATGAAGAGAGAGAATAAGACTTCCCAGATACATACAGTTGTTACTAGGTTGAAGGATCAGTGTGATCAACTAAAGATTTGCAGTTAGAAAACCTGTCTTGGATGCTAACATGTTTTTCTACCTATTTACTTTTAATATGGGGGTGATGAAAATAATACTACCTGATTGTCAACCTTACAGGCTTGTTATAAACATCAGATGAGGTATAAAGGCATAAGCAAGTGTCTTATAACTTGTAAAATTCTGTATTAATGAAGAAATCCTCATAGATAATGGAGTTTTTATGAGGTAGAAGGGGCTTATGTGCAAAGTACTAAGTTTTTACAAATAAGTAAACGTTTTTCTGGGCCTCCAAATTGTTGTAATTTTCAAGTTTTCACAAAATGACATATTTATTAATTTGAGGTGTTAATCTCAATTTTATACCTGAAATGCTGCCATTGCCTTCTCAGTTTCAACTGTTGATTCAAGAAAACGTTCAAAAATAGATATGGTCATTATTCCACTTTCCAATATTAAGTATTGTTGAAAGCGATTATTGAAGGCAAAAAGTGTTAATGCATAGCCTGCTCTTAAGCAAATATCCTAAAAATAGGAGAAACAGGCATTATGGTGAACTTCATTTATCATGTTACTCAACATAATAGACTTTAAGTTCTTGCTCATTAAAATATATTGCATTCTTATCACTGGGAGTAAAATATGACATTACTAGGGAAAAGAGATAATAGTTACTCTAGAATGTTGTAACTTTCAACATTTCAAAGTAGAGTTGATAAATCAAAACTACCCTTGTATATAACATGTTATCTATTGCATTCCATACATTGTTGGGTATTCCATATCAATCTCTTAAATTCATTTGTAAAATTCCATTGTACTATATTTTAAGGAAGAATAGGAGAAAAATAATGTATTCTGAAGAATCACATTTTAACATTCTGAGGCTGGGCAAACAGCAAAAGCTAGTTTCTTCTGTAGAATTAGTCTGCTTGCCAGAGATATATAAGTATGGCAGACCTTCCAGAAAGATTCAAAAGATAAAATCTTATTACTAAATCTTATTTTTAATATTAAAAATAATTCAATATATTGTATTATTAGTATGTTATTTGAACAATGTATTACAACAGAAAGAACTCATTCATCTTGGTGAATTTTCTTTTCTTTTTTTTTCTTTTTCTTTTTTTTTTTGAGACAAAGTCTCCCTCTGTCACCCAGGCTAGAGTGCAGTGGCGTGATCTTGGCTCACTGCAATTTCCACCTCCCAGGCTCAAGCAATGCTCCCACTTCAGCCTCCCAAGTAGCTAAGACCAAAGGCGTGTGCCACCACACCTGGCTAATTTTCTGTATTTTTTGTAGAGACAGGGTTTTGCTATGTTGCCCAGGCTGGTCTTGAACTCCTGAGCTCAAGGTGTCTGCTCGCCTTGGCCTCCCAAAGTGCTGGGATTACAGACATGAACCACCACACCTGGCCCTGAATTTTCTTCTGCCACTGTTAATCATAATATTAAAATGCTGCATGTACATACTGAAATATTTATAGATAAAATTATATGATGCTTGAAATTTGCATCAAAAATAATTTAGTAGAAATGAGTAGATGTATAGATGAAATAAGATTGGCCATGAGATGATGACTGCTGAAGCTGGGTGGGAACATTTAGGTTCATTATGCTACCCTGTCATTTTATATATATTTGAAATTTTCCATAATAAAAATCACATACACACACACACACACACACACACACACACACACACAAAACCCAGTCACCTAAATAGGCAAAAAGAAAGGTATTAGGTACAGTCAAAGGCTTGAGAAACTAGGTCTCATTCATAGTCAAAGCGTGGATTAACAGACAGCAAAATAGAACCTAGAGCCAAGTAGGAAAGAGTGGCAATGGGAAATGAACCAAAGGGGCATGCTTTGTGTATCAAGGTCAGATAGAGCGAAGTGAGAGAAATATGCTAAGACTTGACTGATTTCCATTTCTTTTCCATGTAGGGTTCACTCCTGCGGTATCACTGTGGAAGTCTACAGTAAATAGTTTAGATTATAAAGTGGCTATTAATGTTTCAAAATGAATCCCATAGTTTGACTGCTCCCACCATGCCAGGTAGTATCAGATACAGGACAAGAACCAAGTTGGCTATTCCCAGTTCAGAAGGCTAAAAATTAATGCTTGAGGAAAGACATGTGTTTCCATACTTTTCTTCCCCAATGTCAACTGTCTTAAACTCTTTACTTCATATATATTTTCATTTACCTATCTACCAGGGTGGTTATACCCACTGGTTACTTATTGTTACTTTATACCCACTGATTTATAAATGGGAAAAGAGTGCCTGTTAATTATGCTCACTAACCTCTCTTCAAAAGTATATTCATAATTAATTAGCCCACATATTTGAGTTAATTAAAAAGAGTAGAATAACAGTAACTAAATTAATGCAACTAATTTTATGTGGCTTGTGAAAATCAATCTCAATGGTCCATTTCATATATTATTCTAGTTTGGTAGCATGAAAATAGTTAAATTATAATTTAAAAACAACACATAACCTATTGCATCTCCATGTAGACAGTATCAATGTGGCTAGGAGTTACAAGAACCTGGGTTCCTGACTTAATTTTTATTGCATTCCTGTCATTATCCATAAGATAGCTATTCATTCAGTGACATATTTAATGTTGCTGAACATCCCTCCCTCCCCTCTAACTTCTACAACACACCTGTGTAATCTGAAGTCTCCCACTATAGGTTTAATGAAGGATAGTTGTTCAGTACTGTCTCTAAAGCCCTAAGAGCACTAATGTGCCTCTGCAGGGCAGGTAGTTTGAGGCAAAATATAGTACAAGAAACCCTGGAGGACTTTTAACTTGCCTTGTGATGAGTGTTAGAATTAAAAATTTCAGCCAAGGCCGGATAAATCCTTTGGTTAAACCTTCTAGTTCTCTAAGATTCCCTACCATTTGTAGAACTGATGCACAAGAATAAATCTATTATAAGCCAAATGCAGGGTCCAGAGAGTGAAGCAGGTGGTAACAAACTGGGAAGGAAGGCAGAATACTTGAGAGTGGAATGTGTAACAAAAGGGAGAAGAAGGGTGCACATGAGGAGTAAGGTAATGGGAGTAAAAGCTAGAAGGAACAGAGTAGAGGGGCAAAAGGTGGCTTAGAGAGTCAGGTAGACATTCATTTAGTCTCCTCACCCTATTAGTTTCCACATATATATATATTTTATATATATATTTTTTTTTACTCTACTGTAAATATATATATATATATATTCTCTTTTTTGAGATGGAGTCTAGCTCTGTCACCCAGGCTGGAGTGCAGTGATGCAATCTCGGCTCACTGCAATCTTCACCTCCCAGGTTCAAGTGATTTTCCTGCCTCAGCCTCCCAAGTAGCTAGGACTACAGGCATGTGCCACCACGCCCGGCCAATTTTTATCTCTTTAGTAGAGATGGGGTTTCACCATATTGGCAAGGCTGGTCTCGAACTCCTGATCTCAAGCGATCTGCCCACCTCGACCTCCCAAAATATTTCCCATATTTTTATAGCAGCACTTCTCTTTTGTGTACCACAGTAGAATAAAATTTTGTATTAAAAAAATAACATGACTTAATTCCCACCCACCTCCTGACCCTCCTTGATCCCTCTAAAACCTTACAGAACTGAGAGAAACGTCGCTGGCAATTTTCTTCCTGGTTGTGAAATGCCCTGTAGAAAATAGCTCTCATTTCCTTAGGGTAGTGCTGTTGAAAGTGTGGCCCGTGGACCAGTGACAGTCCACAAAATCATTAACAGTGGGATAACAAAACTGAGAATAAACATTGAAAAGAAACAAATCTTCTTTATAGTTGAATACCAACTAATAAACGTAGAAGGAAGAAGGGAATTTTTTTAATTGCCCTTAGGCAAATGTTACATTTATTATTGTTGCATCAATGGATGCTAAGATTGGTGAGCAAAAGTGTGATGCAAGACAAAATATTTGCATAATCTCAAAGTGTCTCACCTTAAGATACTTATTAACTACAAAAGGAAAAACAGCGAAGAACTATGGCAGACCCCATTTTAACCGAGTAATCAAAATTAAGATTACCAGTAAAATACATCAACGTTATATACCTCATGCTATGATGTACTGGGAAGGTGAGTGAAGAAGACCACATCACTTCTGTGATATTCTTGCCAAAAGGTGTAACTTCAATTTAATTAGGGGAAAACATCAAGGTCAAATTGAGGGATATTCTATAAAATAACTGGCCTGAATTCATCAAAAATGTCAAAATCATGAAAGACATGAAATCATGAAAAACAAAGAAGGGCTGAGCTTCACAAACTGGAGGCTAAAGAGACAAGACATTTAGATGTAATGTGAGACCCCGATTAGATTCTGGAACAAAAGTAGACATTGAAAAAAATAAAAATAATTTTTTAAATTAAATAAAAAAAACAAAAAAGGGACATTGCTGAGAAAACTGGCAAAATTTAAATAAGGCGTGCAAATTAGTTAATAGTATTGTATCAATGTTAATGTTCTAGTTGACATTTGGGAAAACTAGATGAAGGATATACCAGAATTTTGGAAAGTCTAAGATTATTTCAAAATTTTTAAAGTTAAAAAAAATTATCCTTCCATAATAGATTGCTGGGAAAAAGCTATTTCTTCATCATAAATAGTTTGAGAAGCACCCCTTTAGCATATTGGATAAGTGAATGACTGAGGGCTGAAAGGGCATAAAATTATTGTAAAGGTTTGATTTGGGACATAAGAGATTTGTTTTTTGACTCATCACCAAACATTAAAATTACTGCATTTCAACGATGAAGTGGGACAACTCAGAAAAATATGGAGCTGTATTATTACATCATTACAAACTAATGACCTACAAAGAGATCTTTTACATGTCTTTTCTTAAACAATACATTGAATATTGCCATGAAGAAGACTTGATAATTTGAAGATGTGGTATAAAAACCATTTTTTTCAAAATGAACCTCAATATTTTGTAAAGGTATTACCTTTTCTGTTGAGTGAAGAAGATAAAGGACATCAGCATATTCAAATCCTTCATTTTCATGTAAGTCTTTCTGTAACACATCATTCCCTAGGACAATGCATGCCAAGGAAAATGCCACTTCAACCTAAACATGTGGTTTTCAGAAATTACTTTTCAATTATGCTTTATGAAATTACACATTTCATTGTGCAGGCATTTATATAGAATACATTGTGGAAAGATACTATAAAATCTGCTAAAATATAATCCATTGATTCCAGTTATCTTACTAGCGAAAGAACTGCACTTACAACTCCCTCATAATTTTTAATAGCTGAGAAAATATCCTTTCTGTGTTCAGGGACCAACCACAGAGCTCCATTTGAGGGCACTGGAGAAAGGAACAAGGGCGAGCAGAGCATGTAAGGAGGTATTATCCTAAGTACATAGTTGTATCCCTTCCATATTAAAAAAAAGTTCTTTTAATTTTTTGACATGGATTAAAAAGCTATTTTGAACTGCTTGTTAACTACTGACCATTGAGTTGTAAGGCTTTAATGCAGCACCTTTTTTTTTTTTTTTTTTTTTTTTTAGATGGAGTCTTGCTCTGTTGCCCAGGCTGGAGTACAATGGCATGATCTTAGCTCACTGCAACCTCCACCTCCTGGGTTCAAGCGATTCTCCTGCTCCAGCCTCCCGAGTAGCTGGGATTACAGGTGCGCACTACCACGCCCAGCTAATTTTTTGTATCTTTAGCAGAGACAGGGCTTCACCATGTTGGCCAGGTTGGCCTCGAACTCCTGACCTCATGATCCGCCTGCTTTGTCCTCCTAAAGTGCTGGGATTACAGGCGTGAGCCAAAGCACCTGGCCTGCAGCACCTATTAATTTAAGCAAAACTTTGGGGAGTAGTACTAAGAAATAGTACTACTAATTTTTCCTCCTCTAGTTCTGGAACCATTTAATGTACATTCTGAAGCCCATTAGGAAAATGAACTTTGCATATTATTGGGACTCAGTAGATAAGTTTTTAAAGTGTTGTACTATGCATTTCTATGAAAAACATTATGAATTTGAAAAGTATGATTATTGAATTATTGCAAAATGTTTTATCCATTATAGAATCTTTTGAGAAAAAGTATTGAAATGTATTTATGTTCTATTTAAACAAGTTTCAAAACTCATTGAAAATATGTACTGAAATATAGATGGATACATTTTTTATGATAAGACACACATTTGTTAAAAGAATGCACCAGATGTGGTGGCTAATGCCTGTAATCCCATCACTTTGGAAGCCAAGGTGGAGGATCTCTTGAGCCCAGGCATTCGAGAACAGCCTGGGCAAAATAGTGAAACTCCATCTCCAACAAAAATACAAAAAATTAGCCAGGCATGGTGGTGCACTCCTGTAGTCACAGCTACTCAGGAGGCTGAGGTGGGAGGATCACTGTAGCCTGGGAGGCAGAGGCTGCAGTGAGCCAAGATTGCACTACTGCACTCTAGCCTGGCTGACAGTGAGAGACCCCATCTCAATATTTAAAAAAAATTAAATAAATAAATACAGATTAAAAAAGAAACAGCCTGGGTGCAGTGGCTCATACCTTAATCCCAGCACTTTGGGAGGCCGAGGTGGGAAGATCACTTGAGGTCAGGAATTCAAGACCAGCCTGGCCACATGGTGAAACCCCGTCTCTACAAAAATACAAAAATTAGCCAAGCGTTGTGATGCACACCTGTAATCCCAGCTATTCAGGAGGCCGAGGCAGGAGAATCACTTGAACCCAGGAGGTGGAGGTTGCAGTGAGCTGAGATGGCACCATTGCACTCCAGCCTGGGCAACAGAGCGAGATTCTGTCTCAAAAAAAAAAAAAAAGAAAAAAGAAAAAGAAACAATGCTATTTACTTAGATATTGTCCTCCTATGTTATTTCTATTTTCTCATCTCCAGTAGCATGCATACCAAATTTTGAAAATAAAATTTTTTTTGATGTTATAATTTCTTGCCTGGCCATCTATAGATGTCCTGAATTTCTAAAGCCTGGGTAAGAGTATTTGAATAGATGTAAATGTCATTTTATTAAAGGCATTTTAGTAGAAGTAAATGGAAGACTGAATGACTCTTCAACAACTCACAATAATTCTTTGTAATGTCCAGCCTTGAGAAAACTATTACCTCCAGCCAACAGAGGCTGCTTGACAGAAGGCAGGGCTGGTCTGAAGTGTAGTACTGACAAGATTCACTAATATTTGAGAAATATTCCCATATAAGTCACACATTCCCACTATCGCCGCCCAGTTTTAGCAACTGATGTCTGGGGAGGTAGAAAAGAACTTTTGTGAATAAATAATCAAATATCTGAGGAAAATCTTATTTGAAGAGTAAAAACATAAGATTTTCTTGTCATATTTGAAGAAACCCTATTTTAATAAAATTTACTAGTATCTTATGGTTTGCAGCAACCTTTTTAAAACTTCTAGGATTTTGTTTATTTTTATTTTTATTTTTGGCTTATTTCTCCAAGAAAAATAGGATTTAGTTTAAAAGATTAAATATTTTTATGTTTATGAACTTGAATAAAGATACAAAATTTTCTTAAAATTATATTTGTTAATTTTTACCATATCAGAAAACAATGTAAACCTTTATACCTTAATGTTAGGAGAAGGGTGATTTCTTAGTAGTTGGATAAGTACTGGAAAGGCATTTTCATCTACAACCAATTGTTGACTGACAGGATTGCTTGTATGGGCTACACCTGTAAGAGTCCACGCCAGTGAGGTAATATTTTTTTCCATCTTACAAATGGTAAAGTCAAACATAGCTTGATATTTTGGGTTGACAAAGCATTCTAAGGTAATACAGTTAGTAAGTTACAAAGGGGTATGCTATATTGACACTATTTTAATAGTCCTGAATTAATTTTTTAAAAGACAAAGTGAATAAACATGGAGACTTTATTAGAATTGTGAGTGGCTTCCTAAAAGTCACAAAGCAAAGGAAATTAGAAATATTATACTACCAAGGAATACTAATAGCTATCATTTATTGAAGAAATATTATGTGCGAGGTACTTAAGTTCATAATTCTGTTGTTTTCCATAAAAAGTTTACTTCTACAAAAATGAATAGAGTAAATCACCAAGTTAAAATTTCTTGGTTTCTTAAATTATACACGCTAACAAGATAATCTTACTATGTCTCTTTATAACATACTACTTTAAATTGCAGGCCTAAACTCACCAGAGAGACTCAACTCTCTCTTTTTTTTTTTCCACTCCTTGCAATTTCCTGTTGAGAAACTCATTTCTTTCTAGTGAACATGGACAAAGAATTTTAACTCTGTTCTTTTGCTAATATTAAATGTCACAATAAATATACAGTGGGTTTATGTAAATGGGTTAACCCTAAATAAATGGGTTAAATATAAGATTGAGCCTCTCAGTGAACAATGAAGAGAAGTCACCTACATATTGTATCTAGGGAAGTTTGAAGGAAAAAAGAACACCTTTGTCCCCACAAACCCCCCACCCGCACCACACACACACACACACACACGCACAGCTGATGTGGACAGATTTGAAATGAACTAATGCGAAGAAATTTGATTATGTGCATGTGTATGTATATCAGGCAACCTTGCATATATATTATCATTTACTAGAACTTTAGAAATAACTGTAATTTATGTCAGAGTCTCTGGCCAAAAAAAAAGAAACATCTTCTCTGGCTGATTATCTTGGAATTGTGAATGAGTTTCTGCAAGAAACTTTTGGCAAGCAAAGAGAAAAAAATGTGAGAATCAATTCCTATTATACTTCATTCAGCTGGACTATTTTTGAGGAAATTCAGTGATCTGGAAATAAAGATTTTTCCTCTTGTTTGCAAGAAGCAGTCTACAATCAGCACCCTGCATTCATCAAGGTCAGCAAGAACCCAAATTTTAACTTTTGGTGGGTCACAACTGACAGTTCCACATTTTCTCAGGTACCCCAAAATGTCAATTCCTTTGCAATGAATTCTATGTTATATAAACAAATGATCATTACAGAGACATTCAAGAATGTGCTCCAGCATTAGAAACTCTTCTATATCTTCAAAAACATATCGTTCTTGAGATTCAAAAGAACTATTTTTCTCTTAAACTTAAAAAAGAGATTGCTTTCAGTCAAAATAGTCAAGGCTTATTGTCTTAATTTTCCTTTCTAGCCATTGTTCAAGAGCAAGACTGATATAAGATTCTTAATTATACCACTTTTACTGACCAAGTTCTTAGACAAACTTTAAAAGTTATAATAGTCTTTCATACATTAAATACCATTTAGGGCTCAAACAGTGGGGATAGAGAGGAAGAGAGATTAATTTCCACTTCTCTGCGCAATCTGTTCTTGTTCTTACAGATATTTAAGAAATTGAGAATAAGTATACAAACCAATACAAATGGATCCCACTGCTCTGATGACACTGAGAAGTGTGCCTTCAGCAATCGTACTAATTCTTAGTAAGCGAACCAATGGTGCAATTCCATTCCCTTCACATATTTGATTTTGATGCATCCTGCTGTCCTTACTTAGAGCTATGACAGCTTCACCTCCTGATAAAGAAAAGCAAGATACATGTATGATACTCCAGTGCCCTGTTCTACATTATGCAGAGGACACGGTGGCTGACACTTGTAATCCCAGCTACTTGGGAGGCTGAGGCAAGAGGATCACTTGAGCCCAGGGGTTTGAGGCTGCAGTGAGCTATAATTGTGCCACTGCACACCAGGCTGGGCAACAGAGCAAGATCCTGTCTCTAAAAAATAAAAATAAAATAAGGAAAATAACTTACCAACATACTGCATTTTAGCTGATGGTGACAAAAGCATATTTATTATAAAGCTGTATCCAATTTGTTCTGCCATATATTTTTGTTGTTTTAGTGTTTGTCCTGCCAAGGCCCAAAGTGCAACAGCTCCTTGTTCCTTAACATCTATTTGAAATGCCTATTTTTAAAAATATTTCATTAATTCAGTGAACATTTATTGAACATTTTAGGAATGCATATTTTATAAAATGTTTATTCTAGAATTGGTTTAGTTTTTCTATTCACTTAACAATTCAAAATAGAAAACATCATCTAAGAAAAATGACCAGTAATCATAAAATTCCTACCTTTAGGAGTTTTAAAAGATATTTAGTTAACGATTTTTCCAGAAATGCTTTCTGTATAAGAGCGTTGTGACTTGCCAGTGATTCCACAGCCATTGCACCTTTCATTTGGACACTAATTTGTTTCCCTTTAAAAAGAGCCACCAGAGGAGGAATCGCTCCCTCCATAGCTATAGCATCCTGAATTTCCTTATTGTCACGCCCAACCTCAGCAATTGCAGCAGAAGATACAGCCTTCAACACATCTTCAAATGAATTTAAGAACAAGTTAAATAAACCTTATGAAAAATAAGAATATCAAAGTGCAGCATATCATTAGTTTCCCATATTATAAAATCAAATTTATAAAAAGCTTAGAGAAAATAAAGAAAAATAGAAATAAACAAAACTGGCTAGATTTACCACCTAAACACAATCAAACATTTGGCATAATCTCATGTACTATTTCTTATGAAGATAGATTTAGATAGTTATAGATGTATTTGATATAGTTGTATTTTAAAACAACAGCCTGCATTTTTACTTACAATTAAAACATTCCCTCCCCACCACCCTTTTTTTTTTTTTTTTTTTTTTTGAGACAAGGTTTGGCTCTATCACCCAGGCTGGAGTGCAGTGGTGTGTGTGATCTCAGCTCACTACAACCTCCACCATCCTCCCACCTCAGCCTCCTGAGTAGCTGGGACTACAGGTGTGCACCACCACACCCGGCTAATTTTTGTGTTTTTTGTAGAGGAATTACCAGAATAACTCAGTACATCTGAGTAAACTGCTTATCAAAAATGATAATAGCATCTTAGCCTTCCATAATCAGAGTTCAAAAGTATCAATGTTACTGTGTTTGAGTATGAGTATTATCATTAAAAATAAATATGTAAACTTTGCTAATTTGATAGCTGTCTCATTTTGTTTTGTATTTTTGGTACTGGTGATTCTAAACATTCTCCTATATTCTTTTAACCACTTACACTGTGTTTTTTTCAATATGGGTATTATCATTAAAAATAAATACATCAACTTTGCTCAAATTTGATAGAAAAAATGCTGTCTCATCTTGTTTTGCATTTTTGGTATTAGTGAGTCTAAACATTTTCCTATATTTTAACAAGTTGCATTTTTTTAACTTATAGAAAAGTTGTAAGAATAAGTCAGAGAATTCCTGTATACCTTTACCTGGATTTATAAATTTTTAATATATTGCCATATTGGTTTTTCTATCCATTTATCTATATAATTTACTTTTCTAAATTTGAGGGTATGTTGCGTGCATACATCGTGGCCTTTTATCTCTTTAATAGTCTAGTGTGTATTTACTAAAAACAAGCCTATCCTTTTATGTAACTACAAGGCAATTAGTAGATGCAATACTTTAATCATATTGTGTTGATTTTCCTAGTAATGTCCTTTATCACATTTACTTTCTTCCAGTACAGGATCCAGACCAGGACCATGTATTGCACTTAGTTATGTCTCTTTAGTGTTCTATTATCTGGAACCTTTTCTCAGGGGTTTTTTGGTCTCTTATGACATAGACATTTTTAATGAATATGGGTCATTTAGTTTAGAGAATTTTCCTCAGTTTGGGTTTGTTTGATGTGTCCTCATGACTCAAGATATGCACCTCCATCCAGAATATTTTTAAAGTGACATTATGGCTTGGGTGCAGTGGTGCATGCCTGTAATCCCAGCTATGCAGTAGGCTAAGGTGGGAGGACTGCTTGAGCCCAGGGGTTCAAGATCAGCCCGGGCAACATAGCAACCTCATTTCAAAAAAAAAGTGACATTAGGTTCTGGGGATATCCTCTGTGGAGTTATATAATGTCCATCTATTCCTCATTGGTGATGTTAATTTTGATCACCCAGTTTCTCTACTGTATAGTTGCTATTTTCCCTCTTGCAACTAATAAGGAGCAAAACACTTTAAGACCATGTAAATATCAAAATTTGCCCCCAAGATTTAGCAACCATTTATAATTTTTGCCTGAACCAATCTTTACTATGCTGTTTGCAAAATACTAATTTTCCAAATCTACCACCCCTTCACATTTGTCAATTGACATTCTGCTATAAGGAAGAGCCCTACCTTATTCTCTATTTATTTGTTTCCTTGTTTATCCAGTTGTTATCAGGATGAGGGCACAGGCTCCTATTTTATTCAACCCTTTACTTTTCTTTTCTTTTCTTTTCTTTTTTGAGACAAGGTCTCGCTCTGTCACCCAGGCTGGAATGCAATGACATGAACTCAGCTCACTGCAACCTCTGCCTCCCAGGCTCAAGCGATCCTCCCACCTCAGCCTCCCAAGTAGCTGGGAATACAGGCATGTGCCACCATGCCCAGCTAATTTTTGCATTTTTAGTAGAGATGAGGTTTTGCCATGTTGCCCAGGCTGGTGTTGAACTCATGAGCTCAAGCTATTTGCCCGTCTTGGCCCCGCAAAGTGCTGGGATTATAGGCATGAGCCACTGTGCCCGGTGTATTTTCTTACTTATGTTGGTACCCAAAATTGTCTAAGATTTGGCCAGTGGGAGCCCCTTCAGGTTGTCCTTGTGTCCTATAGATATGCCTATAGATATAGATAGTAAAAAAAAGGATTTTATTACTTTCTGTCACCATATGATGATGTTCCTGACTCACCATATACCTTCTCTGCCCCTGCCCCAGAATCAACTATTTCTCCAAGAAGCTCTGGTTCCTTTTAATGAGGGATGATATTTAGAAACCAAGATTTGGGTGCTCGGTATGCTCATTGCTACTGGAATATCATTGCTTCTGGATCATATATATGTGTGTGTGTGTGTGTGTGTGTGTGTGTGTGTGTGTATAAATCCATATATATAAAATATGTATACATATATATGTATGTGTATACACACACACTCATACATACACACATACATTTCCAGTTCCAATCCAACCCCACAGGGTTTATTGTTTTCCTACATTCTGCACATTTCTTTGCACAGTAAGAACCCAATAATATCAACACATTTATTCATTTCTTTAGTCCTATGGTACTTATCATATGGGTTCAGAATTGTTCTACCCATATCATTATGACATACAAGCTCACTAAAAAGAACTCAAAATCTGTGTGTAGTTTGTTTTGTGTTTACCCTTAGAAAGATGGTATATAATGCACTGTGTTTAAAATTATTTGTATTCATTTTTTCTTTTCTTTTTAAATCTAGTTATACAATTTATTTCAGTTTTCATTTCCCCCAGCCTTGTAGATTTAATTTTTTTATTATGTAGAATATCAATATATTTCCAAAAGCAAAACTAAATAGAAAAGTGTTTGTGCATTCATGTAGCTAACTATATCCTTTAGATGCTCTATAATCCAGCATTTGTTTTTTCATATACTATCAAGGTTAATTATCTCTCTATTAAGGCCTTATTGTTCATACCAACTTCTATACCCACTTTATATCAATTTATGTCAAAAATATTAACTATTTTTATTGTTATGAGTATGTTATTCATTTAATCATCTAATCATTTATTTAATGCATATTTATTGAATAGCTATGTGCTAGACACTGTCCCAGGCACTAGGGAAATAAAGGTGAACCAACAAAACAAGGTCCTTGACCTTGTCGAACAAAAGGAAAGGCCAGAGTAAAGAACAAAGCAATAAGTTCAATATTACTTGAGAGTAATATCAGAGAAAAAGGGAGTGACAGGAAGGTCATTTCCTCTTGAAGTAGGGAAGTAAAAAGGGCTATAGGCCATGCTGGAAACATGGATCATATCCTAGGTGATAGAGAGTCACTGAATAATTTAAAGAAGAAGATATGATCAACTTTACATTTTAGTTAGATCACTCAAGTAACACTTGGAATGTTAACCCTGAAAGATTAATAAAATTAAGAGAGTGTGGGGGAAACCATTCTTTCCCTTACCCACTATTCCTGAATCAGTACAAAAAGTAGAAATTCCTCTACCCATGGCCAACTCAGAAATGTTAAGAATAAAAATTTACCCCTTACTCATTCTTCCCCATGAGAAGAATAGTGAGTTACATAATTTTTTAATTTGAAGAATGAGTCATTGCAAATGCATGGTTTACGTTCTTTTTGGCACTTTTTGTTGTTTTCTCAAAGCAAGCTTTCCAACAATAATGCTGAAGTTTTGATCTTTATTTGATTCCTGTCTATTTCTCATTTGGACCCAAATTCTGAAAGGAATGGAAGTGTCTTTACTAAGCTATTCAGTAATCCAAAGTAGCTCTAAAGCTCAGGGAAGACGTCAGGGATGTGGATAAAGAACTGGGAAGAATAGATTGTAAACCTAGTAGAGTTCCTTTGGAGTGAATAAGAGGTAAAGAAGAGTATGCTGGATGAAAGCAGCAGTATGACAAGAATGGAAGCTTAAGGAACTCCAACTTTTAAGAGTTGGCTAAAGGAGGACTAATGGTGAAGGCAGACTTTACAACTTTTGGGGTCATAATTCCAAAGTTTTCAGATTTTAGAATGTAAGGAGTACATAATACTACATATTGTATAACATCACAAAGGGTCTGGAGAAAATCAATTTCTGCAGAAATATGTGAATAATCATTCCAAGAAAAAAAATGAGGTGATCTTTTAAGTTTTTCTCAGTTTGAAACTGAAAAAGCATTTTGTATGCTTTTGTTACATATTTGAGTTTCTGTGGTGGTGTCATATAAACTTTTGTTATTAACACAGAACAGGAAAGTAGGGTACCATATGAAATCAGAAGCATTGTAGGAATGAAAGCATGCATACATGAATATATGTATATAAGAATGTGCATACAAGCAGCTAAATGGGTGAAGGAAAGGCCTAAAACAAACCAAACTTAGCAAGGGTAGCCTTGCTCTGGACATAGAGACTCAGACCAAGGAGATGTTAACAAATCCATCTTTTCAAGAAACTGTATGTGAATCTACTTTGGGGCCATTTTAATACATGAAATCTTAGAGTAGCTCACATGGTAAAGAAGACACTGGAATTAATAATATGCCTTTGTGATCTCCTATACCTTAACAACCCAGCTAACATCCAAGAGGACTATTTGCTAAAGCACTGAAGTTATATAGGGAGGCTTACCTAAAAGGAAAAAATAATTAAAATTTATTTCAAAATTAAGTTATCTTCCTTGGAGTGAGGACATAATGTAGATTATGGTGTAGGAAAAAATACTTTTATTTCAATAATTTATTTCATACTATAGTTTTCTTTTCTTTTTTTTTTTTTTAGACAGTGTCTCTCTCTGTTGCCAGGCTGGAGTGCAGTGGCATGATCTCGGCTCACTGCAACCTCTGCCTCCCAGCTTCAAGCGATTATCCTGCTCAGCCTCTCAAGTAACTGGGATTACAGGCACGCGCCACCACACCCAGATAATTTTTTTGTATTTTTAGTAGAGACAGGTTTTCACCATGTTGGCCAGGATGGTCTTGATCTCCTGACCTTGTGATCCACCCGCCTTGGCCTCCCAAAGTGCTGGGATTACAGGCGTGAGCTACCACACCCGGTGCTATAGTTTTCTTTCATGAACTCATTTATTATTTATTTATTCAAATTGTTGCTACAATTTGTACTTTGTTACAGCATCTGGGATTGAGAAAAGGAAAACAGAAAGAGAAGACCTAGTCCCTATCTTTAAATTTTAATTAGTTAGATAAAACACAAACAAAAAAAGAGATAAAGAATGACTATAAATGAGTAAAAATTATATGTTTAAAATATACATAAAAGCTGACCCTCTCTAATGCTATTCTTTTTTCCTTTTTTTTTTTGAGATGGAGTCTCGCTCTGTTGCCCAGGCTAGAGTGCAGTGGTACAATCTCAGCCCACTGCAACCTCCGCCTCTCGGGTTCAGGCAATTCTCCTGCCTCAGCCTCCCAAGTAGCTGGGATTACAGGCGTGCACCACCACACCCAGCTGATTTTTGTATTTTAGTAGAGATAGGGTTTCACCATGTTGGCCAGGCAGTCTCGAACTCCTGACCTCAGGTGATCTGCCTCAGCCTCCCAAAATACTGGGATTATAGGTGTGAGCCACCACGCCTGGCCTCTGATGCTATTCTTAAAGGATAAAGTAGAGCATAGTAAGCGATGGAAGAACACTTGAACAGAGAGAGCATAAGGAATTTGTTATGAAGGAAGAGGGCTTTCAAATGATGTCACCACACGATAGAGGTTCTTAGAAAGTGACACTTGCTTAAATTTGAAGTTTTAAAGTAAAGGAAAGATCGCTTCTACATTCCCCTTATTCTTAATCTTGACTTACATTTAACCAATATATTTATTTTGTATTTATTCCTGGTGAACTGGAAGAGGAAGCCAAATGATATACTGAGCAGGAAGAAAATGAGCAAGTTCTTCTCAATTTTCTCTTCCCCCAAATTTGGGGAAAACCGTATATTTGGAACTTACCTGTTAAATGTGCTAACTGGAATGAAATTATTCTTACAGAACCCAGGAGACCATTTGCAGTAGCTGCTGAAACTGCCTCATGGCTTTTGATGTTCTTGGTACTGAGACGCACTTTAGGAACTGATAATTGGCCTAATGCTTCCTGATAACCTTGAATTTTGACGTCAAATATCTAACAAATCTGAAGCCCTTGTTGTCACTTGCAAAATAGCTACCCATGATCAATATGTTACTATCAATATGTACTATTCACCCAAGGTAGCATATACTCTCCTAGGCATATTATATGTATTTTTAAAATCATCCATGCCAATATTTCCATTGATAAACATGTCTAATTAAACTTTTTTAAAGAATATGCCTTTGAGAGTCAATTATTTTTATAAGCCCAGCAGTTTAAATTTAATCATTATCTGCCAGGCATGGTGGCTCATACTTGTAATCCCAACACTTTGGGAGGCTGAGTCGGGTAGATCACAAGGTCAGGAGTTTGAGACCAGCCTGGCCAACATGGTGAAACCCTGTCTCTACTAAAAATACAAAAATTAGCCGGACGTGGTGGTGCATGCCTGTAATCCCAGCTACTCAGGAGGCTAAGACAGAAGAATTTCTTGAACCCGGGAGGCGGAGTTTGCAGTGAGCTGACATCACACCACTGCACTCCAGCCTGGGCGACAGACTGAGACTCTGTCTTGAGAAAAATAAAATATAAATAAATTTAACTGTATCTACATAGTTTAGCAGTTAGGAAAAATAAATAAATTGTGTTTTGGATATTAAGGTTATATTACACGTTTAGATCTATTCAAACACAGATTCGGGACATCTATTCATATAGGACAAGTCCAATCCCATGTTTGCTTCACTTAATATATCTGGTCATTATAAAATAATACAGAGATAGAAGCTCACCTGAATCAGAACTCAGAAATCTGATAAGATATGGGAGGCCTTTATGTTCTCTCACAGCTCTTTGATTGTTTTCATTTCCTATACACAATACCCGTATACAGTTCATTACATTTACTAGCACATTTTCTATGTTTAAGTTCAATAGATTTATCAGGCTTGGGATTCCATTCTAAAAATAAACAAAAAAAATTACATTTGAATTTGTTTAAGATAAATGTAATCTTTATTTAGAAATACAAGTTGGCCGGAAGTGGTGGCTCACGCCTGTAATCCCAGCACTTTGGGAGGCCGAGGCAGGCGGATCACAAGGTCAAGAGATCAAGACCATCCTGGCCAACATGGTGAAACCCCATCTCTACTAAAAATACAAAAATTAGCCAGGCGTGGTGGCACGTGCCTGTAGTTCCAGCTACTCGGGAGGATGAGGCAGGAGAATCACTTGAACCCACGAGGCAGAGGTTGCAGTGAGCCAAGATTGCACCATTGCACCCCAGCCTGGTGACAGAGCAAGACTGTTTCAAAAAAAAAAAGAAAAAAAGAAACACAAGTCTGTAATCTTTCTTGCTGTAAATAACTATTTGGGAGAGAATGAGTGCCACAAACAAATGTGTCTACTGATAAGATACATTATGTGACAGTTAATATAGCTATCTAAGTGAAGCAAATGAGATTAATTGAATATATTGCCCCATTAGGAAATATTTGCCATTGTAGACACTGCACTGTAATTGGTAAACAGCAAGAAGCAATCAACATACACTAACTTATGAAAATACTCCCTCATCTACTTCTGGACCGTACTCAAATGCCAACTTTTCGGTGGAGTTTTCATCAGGCACCCTCTCTCCCTTTTCCCTGCTGTATTCTTCCCTGAGAGTTTTGTCACTGAATAGTAACGTGGGTTTCTATTTTTGTAACTTCTATATGAGGGAGTTATTGTCAGTCAAAAATAATTGTATATGAAAGGAACTTACATATTTGGCAATAACATCCTTGTTTTCACATTGAGCAATATCATATAGAATGACAGCACAGCGAGAGTGTACTTCAGGCTCATCACAAACCAGTAGGTTGATTAGAGATGGAATGCCTCCCGCTTCTACCAAAGCATGCACTGCACTTTTGTGGGTTGAGATATTACTCAATAACCCAACAGTTTTGCACTGCAGTTTTATTTTGGAACTTTTTAATAGATTGATTAAGGCAGGAATGGTGCCTGTAATGACAAGAGCAAAAAAATTAAAAAGCATGAATTATTGGTAACCATTTGTAGTCAATTTATCATGGCAATATTTAAATAATATTTATGGGCATTGCAATATAAATAATTATGAAATAATTCTATAAAATATTTATAAAATTATCATTTGAAACTACATGAAGAAACCTTCCATCTTGTCTTTGGTATGGGCAGCTCTCATTGTTCATACATTTGATTTTCACAGAGCATGATCAAACATTTTATATTAGTAACCTTAAGCCACCATTGAAACACTGAATTCTGGCTTCAGATTATTGATAAATAAATTCTTTGTGCTACCATATGGTACAGGTCAGTTTTGGTTATTGCATCAACTTCGCATGGCACTGCTTATGCAATTATTTGAGTATTTTATTATATTTTATCCTTATTTTATACAAGGATGTGAAAAACAAAAAGTGCTGAATCTAGTAAAATGCAACATTAGTCTCATTAATTACAATAGGCTCAAAGATAGAAATTAGCCATAGTGAAAATAGGCCGGGCGCGGTGGCTCACGCCTGTAATCCCAGCACTTTGGGAGGCCGAGGCGGGTGGATCATGAGGTCAGGAGATCGAGACCATCCTGGCTAACAAGGTGAAACCCCGTCTCTACTAAAAATACAAAAAATTAGCCGGGCGCGGTGGCGGGCGCCTGTAGTCCCAGCTACTCGGGAGGCTGAGGCAGGAGAATGGCGTGAACCCGGGAAGCGGAGCTTGCAGTGAGCCGAGATTGCGCCACTGCAGTCCGCAGTCCGGCCTGGGCGACAGAGCGAGACTCCGTCTCAAAAAAAAAAAAAAAGAAAATAGAAAATCTGGCTTCAGGTGGATGCCTGTTATACTTACATCAATTTAATGATAAATAGAAAGCACCTTATAGGACATGCACAAAATGACAGAAAATATAATAGATATAATAAAGACCTTATTTATTTAGCTGTCTGAAATGAAACATCCCTCATGACTTCTTTAAGTTCACCTTTTGGATACAGAGCTTTTTGTACAGGTTTTCAGGAACATATCAGGGGACTATCTATGATCAATCAAATTTTAATTTATTCATTTAATATTTCTGGAGCATCTCACGTGAGTTCAATAACCACATTAGGGTAGTGGCTACCATATTGGACATTTTCAAATAGAACATTTTCTTTGTGTGTGTGTGTGTGTGTGTGTGTGTGTGTGTGTCTGTGTGTAGATAGATAGCTAGACAGACAGATAGACAGACAGATAGATATATAGATAGATATAGATAAAGACAAAGACAGGGTCTCACTATGCTGCCCAGACTGGTCTCAAACTCCTGGGCTCAAGCTATCCTCCTGCCTTGGCCTCCCAAAGTGCTGGCATTACAGGCATGGGCCACCATGCCCAACTGAACATTTTCATCATTTCAGAAAGTTATTCTGGACAGTGCTATTCTCAAAACAATCCTATGGGGTAGAACTATTTTATTTTTTTATTATACTTTAAGTTCTAGGGTACACGTGCACAATGTGCAGGTTTGTTACATAGGTATACATGTGCTATGTTGGTTTGCTGCACCCATTAACTTGTCATGTACACTAGGTGTTTCTCCTAATGCTGTCCCTCCCCCTGCCTCCCACCCCAGAACAGGCCCTGGTATGTGATGTTTCCCACCCTGTGTCCAAGTGTTCTCATTGTTCAATTCCCACCTATGAGTGAGAACATGTGGTGTTTGCTTTTCTGTCCTTGTGATAGTTTGCTCAGAATGATGGTTTCCAGCGTCATCCATGTCCCTGCAAAGGACATGAACTCATCCTTTTTTATGGCTGCATAGTATTCCATGGTGTATCTGTGCCACATTTTCTTAATCCAGTCTATCATTGATGGACATTTGGGTTGGTTCCAAGTTTTTGCTATTGTGAATAGTGCCACAGTAAACCTATGTGTGCATGTGTCTTTATAGCAGCATGATTTATAATGCTTTGGGTATATACCCAGTAATGGGATTGCTGGGTCAAATGGTATTTCTAGTTCTAGATCCTTGAGGAATCGCCACACTGTCTTCCACAATGGTTGAACTAGTTTACACTCCCACCAATAGTGTAAAAGCATTCCTATTTCTCCACATCCTCTCCAGCATCTGTTGTTTCCTGACTTTTTAATGATCTCCATTCTAACTGGTGTGAGATGGTATATCATTGTTGTTTTGATTTGCATTTCTCTGATGGCCAGTGATGATGAGCGTTTTTTCATGTGTCTGTTGTCTACATAAATGTCTTCTTTTGAGAAGTGTCTGTTCATATCCTTTGCCCGCTTTTTGATGGGGTTGTTTTTTTCTTGTAAATTTGTTTAAGTTCTCCGTAGATTCTGGATATTAGCCCTTTGTCAGATGGGTAGATTGCAAAAATTTTCTCCCATTCTGTAGGCTGCCTGTTCAATCTGATGGTAGTTTCTTTTGCTGTGCAGAAGCTCTTTAGGTTAATTAGATCCCATTTGTCTATTTTGGCTTTTGTTGCCATTGCTTTTGGTGTTTTAGTCATGAAGTCCTTGCCCATGCCTATGTCCTGAATGGTATTGCCTAGGTTTTCTTCTAGGGTTTTTATGGTTTCAGGTCTAACATTTAAGTCTTTAATCCATCTTGAATTAATTTTTATATAAGGTATAAGGAAGGGATCCAGTTTCAGCTTTCTACATATGGCTAGCCAGTTTTCCCAGCACCATTTATTAAATAGGGAATCCTTTCCCCATTGCTTGTTTTTGTCAGGTTTGTCAAAGATCAGATGGTTGTAGATGTGTGGTGTTATTTCTGAGGGCTCTGTTCTGTTCCATTGGTCTATATCTCTGTTTTGGTACCAGTACCATGTTGTTTTGGTTACTGTAGCTTTGTAGTATAGTTTGGAGTCAGGTAGCGTGATTGCTCCAGCTTTGTTCTTTTTGCCTAGGATTGTCTTGGCAATGTGGGCTCTTTTTTGGTTCCATATGAACTTTAAAGTAGTTTTTACCAATTCTGTGAAGAAAGTCATTGGTAGCTTGATGGGGATGGCACTGAATCTATAAATTACCTTGGGCAGTATGGCCATTTTCACAATATTGATTCTTCCTATCCATGAGCATGGAATGTTCTTCCATTTGTTTGTGTCCTCTTTTATTTCATTGAGCAGTGGTTTGTAGTTCTCCTTGAAGAGGTCCTTCACATCCCCTGTAAGTTGGATTCCTAGGTATTTTACTCTCTTTGTAGCAATTGTGAATGGGAGTTCACTCATGATTTGGCTCTCTGTTTGTCTATTATTGGTGTATAAGAATGCTTGTGATTTTTGCACATTGATTTTGTATCCTGAGAGTTTGCTGAAGTTGCTTATCAGCTTAAGGAGATTTTGGACTGAGACAGTGGGGTTTTCTAAATATACAATCATGTCATCTGCAAACAGGGACAATTTGACTTCCTCTTTTCCTAATTGAATACCCTTTATTTCTTTCTCTTGCCTGATTGCCCTGGCCAGAACTTCCAACACTATGTTGAATAGGAGTGGTGAGAGAGGGCATCCCTGTCTTGTGCCAGTTTTCAGAGGGAATGCTTCCAATTTTTGCCCATTCAGTACGATATTGGCTGTGGCTTTGTCATAAATAGCTCTTATTATTTTGAGATACATTCCATCAATACCTAGTTTATTGAGAGTTTTTAGCATGAAGGGCTGTTGAATTTTGTCAAAGGCCTTTTCTGCATCTATTGAGATAATCATGTGGTTTTTGTCGTTGGTTCTGTTTATGTGATGGATTACATTTATTGATTTGCGTATGTTGAACCAGCCTTGCATCCCAGGGATGAAACCGACTTGATCATGGTGGATAAGATTTTTAATGTGCTGCTGGATTCAGTTTGCCAGTTTTTTACTGAGGATTTTTGCATCGATGTTCATCAGGGATATTGGTCTAAAATTCTCTTTTTTGTTTTGTCTCTGCCAGGCTTTGGTATCAGGATGATGCTGGCCTCATAAAATGAGTTAGGAAGGATTCCCTCTTTTTCTATTGACTGAAATAGTTTCAGAAGGAATGGTACCAGCTCCTCTTTGTATCTCTGGTAGAATTCGGCTGTGAATCCGTCTGGTCCTGAACTTCTTTTGGTTGGTAGGCTATTAAGTATTGCCTCAATTTCAGAGCCTGTTAATGGTCTATTCAGAGATTCAACTTTTTCCTGGTTTACTCTTGGGAGGTTGTATGTGTCCAGGAATTTATCCATTTCTTCTAGATTTTCTGGTTTATTTGTGTAGGGGTGTTTATAGTATTCTCTGATGGTAGTATGTATTTCTGTGGGGTTGGTAGTGATATCCCCTTTATCATTTTTTCTTGTGTCTATGTGATTCTTCTCTCTTTTCTTCTTTATTAGTCTTGCTAGTGGTCTATCAGTTTTGTTGATCTTTTCAACAAACCAGCTCCTGGATTCATTGATATTTTGAAGGTTTTTTGTGTCTCTATCTCCTTCAGTTCTGCTCTGATCTTAGTTATTTCTCACCTTCTGTTAGCTTTTGAATGTGTTTGCTCTTGCTTCTCTAGTTCTTTTAATTGTGATGTTAGGGTGTCAATTTTAGATCTTTCCTGGTTTCTCTCTCTCTCTCTTTTTTTTTTTTTTTTTTTTGTGAGATGGAGTCTCACTCTGTCGCCCAGGCTGGAGTGCAGTGGCATGATTTTGGCTCACTGCAAGCTCCGCCTCCGGGGTTCATGCCATTGTCCTGTCTCAGCCTCCCAAGTAGCCGGGACTACAGGTACCCACCACCACGCCTGGCTAATTTTTTGTACTTTTAGTAGAGACAGGGTTTCACTGTGTTAGCCAGGATTGTCTCCATCTCCTGACCTCGTGATCCGCCCGCCTCAGCCTCCCAAGGTTCTGGGATTACAGGCATGAGCCACCATGCCTGGCCAATTCCTGCTTTGTCTTGTGGGCATTTAGTGCTATAAATTTCCCTCTACGCAGTGCTTTAAATGTGTCCCAGAGATTCTGGTACATTGTGTCTTTGTTCTCATCGGTTTCAAAGAACATCTTTATTTCTGCCTTCATTTCGTTATTTACCCAGTAGTCATTCAGGAGCAGGTTGTTCAGTTTCCATGTAGTTGTGTGGTTTTGAGTGAGTTTCTTAATCCTGAGTTCTATTTTGATTGCACTGTGGTCTGAGAGACAGTTTGTTGTGATTTCTTTTCTTTTACATTTGCTGAGGAGTGCTTTACTTCCAACTATGTGGTCAGGTTTGGAGTAAGTGTGATGTGGTGCTGAGAAGAATGTATATTCTGTTGATTTGGGTGGAGAGTTCTGTGGATGTCTATTAGGTCTGTTTGGTCCAGAGCTGAGTTCAGGTCCTGAATATCCTTGTTAATTTTCTGTCTTGTTGATCTATCTAATATTGACAGTGGGGTGTTAAAGTCTCCCACTATTATTGTGTGGGAGTCTAAGTCTCTTTGTAAGTCTCTAAGAACTTGCTTTATGAATCTAGGTGCTCCAGTATTGGGTGCATATATATTTAGGATAGTTAGTTCTTCTTGTTGCATTGATCCCTTTACCATTATATAATGCCCTTGTCTCCTTTTTAATATTTGTTAGTTGAAAGTCTGTTTTATCAGAGACTAGGATGGCAACCCCTGCTATTTTTTTGCTTTCCATTTGCTTGGTAGATCTTCCTCCATCCCTTTATTTTGAGCCTATGTGTGTCTCTGCACATGAGATGGGTCTCCTGAATACAGCATACTGATGGGTCTTGACTCTTTATCCAATTTGCCAGTCCGTGTCTTTTAATTGGGGCATTTAGCCCATTTACATTTAAAGTTAATATTGTTGTGTGTGAATTTTATCCTGTCATATGATGTTAGCTGGTTATTTTGCCCATTAGTTGATGCAGTTTCTTCCTAGCATCGATGGTCTTTACAATTCAGCATGTTTTTGCAGTGGCTGGTACTGGTTGTTCCTTTGCATGTTTAGTGCTTTCTTCAGGAGCTCTTGTAAGGCAGGCCTGGTGGAGACAAAATCTCTCAGGATTTGCTTGTCTGTAAAGGATTTTATTTCTCCTTCACTTATGAAGCTTAGTTTGGCTGGATATGAAATTCTGGGTTGAAAATTCTTTAAGAATGCTGAATATTGGCCCCCACTCTCTTCTGGCTTGTAGATTTTCTACCAAGAGATCCACTGTTAGTCTGATAAGCTTCCCTTTGTGGGTAACCTGACCTTTCTCTCTGGCTGCCCTTAACATTTTTTCTTTCATTTCAACCTTGGTGAATCTGACAATTATGTGTCTTGGGGTTGCTCTTCTCGAGGAGTATCTTTGTGGTGTTCTCTGTATTTCCTGAATTGAATGTTGGCCTTCCTTGCTAGGTTGGGGAAGTTCTCCTGGATAATATCCTGAAGAATGTTTTCCAACTTGGTTCCATTCTCCCCTTCACTTTCAGGTACACTAATCAGACGTAGATTTGGTCTTTTCATATAGTCCCATATTTCTTGGAGGCTTTGTTCATTTCTTCTTACTCTTTTTTCTCTAAACTTCTCGCTTTATTTCATTAATTTGATCTTCAATCACTGATACCCTTTCTTCCACTTGATCGAATCGGCTATTGAAGATTTTGCATGCCTCACATGGTTCTCGTGCCATGGTTTTCAGCTCCATCTGGTCATTTAAGGTCTTCTCTACACTGTTTATTCTAGTTAGCCATTCATTTAATCTTTTTTCAAGGGTTTTAGCTTCCTTGTGATGGGTTCGAATATCCTGCTTTAGCTCAGAGAAGTTTGTTATTACCGACCTTCTGAAGCCTACTTCTGTCAACTCATCAAAGTCATTCTCTGTCCAGCTTTGTTCTGTTGCTGGCAAGGAGCTGTAATCCTTTGGAGGAGAAGAGGTGCTCTGGTTTTTAGAATTTTCAGCTTTTCTGCTCTGGTTTCTCCCCATCTTTGTGGTTTTATCTACCTTTGGTCTTTGATGTTGGTGACCTACAAATGGGGTTTTGGTGTAGATGTCCTTTTTGTTGATGTTGATGCTATTCCTTTCTGTTTGTTAGTTTTCCTTCTAACAGTCAGGTCCCTCAGCTGCAGGTCTGTCGGAGTTTGCTGGAGGTCCACTCCAGACCCTGTTTGCCTAGAAATCACCAGCAGTGGCTGCAGAACAGCAAAAATTGCAGAACAGCAAATATTGCTGCCTGATCATTCCTTTGGAAGCTTCGTCCCAGAGGGGCACCCGCCTGTATGAGGTGTCAGTCGGCCCCTACTGGGAGGTGTCTCCCAGTTAGGCTACAAGGGGGTGAGGGACCCACTTGAGGAGGCAGTCTGTCCATTCTCAGAACTCAAACACCATGCTGGGAGAACCACTGCTCTCTTCAGAGCTGTCAGACAGGGACATTTAAGTCTGCAGAATTTTCTGCTGCCTTTTGTTCAGCTATGCCCTGCCCCCCCAGATGTGGGGTCTACAGAGACAGCAGGCCTTGGTGAGCTGCAGTGGGCTCTGCCCAGTTCAAGCTTCCCGGCCGCTTTGTTTACCTACTCAAGCCTCAGCAGTGGCGAATGCCCCTCCCCCTGCCAGGCTGCTGCCTCGCAGGTCAATCTCAGACTGCCGCGCTAGCAGTGAGCAAGGCTCCATCAGTGTGGGACCTGCCGAGCCAGGCACGAGATATAATCTCCTGGTGTGCCATTTGCTAAGATCATTGGAAAAGCACAGTGTTTGGGCATGAATGCCCCGTTTTTTCAGGTACAGTCTGTCACAGCTTCCCTTGGCAAGGAAAGGGAAATCCCCCAACCCCTTGTGCTTCCCAGGTGAGGCGATGCCCTGCACTGCTTCAGCTCACCCATGGGCTGTACCCACTGTCCAATCAGTCCCAGGGAGATGAAGCAGGTACCTCAGTTGGAAATGCAGAAATCACCTGTCTTCTGCGCCGATCATGCTGGGAGCTGCAGACCGGAGCTGTTCCTATTTGGCCATCTTGGAACGGACCCCAGTAGAGCCATTTTATTAGTGAGTAAAGTAAACTAAGAGAGGTTAAGCAATTTTCTTAAGTTCTAAATGCAGAGGTAGTTACAAACCAGACCTGACACTAAATCTGCTATTTTTAATTTCAAAAGTAAATTGTGCAAATTACAGAATAGGAATAATTTCTAAATGAAAGTAAGTATAAAAGTAGTGTGGTAAAGTAATTTAACATTTAAATTAACACTTAACATTATTTTTTAATTTTTCGAGCTTTTAGACAAATAGAATTGATAAAGTTTTTTGATCCTGTGCAGCTTCCATGTGGAAAATAAAATATATGGTTGACAGGTAAATGAAGTGATCTTAGCAAAAGAAACTGAAAATCAACTAAAATTTTTCCTTTACAATTAAAAATATATTTAAAAATGACTGATGAATAAAATATAGCTCTACATAAAATAGCATAAAAAGTTATTAATAGAGTTTGCATCACCTGCATCCAAAATACATCTCCAGTATTGATCATTTGCTAAGCAAATTACTTCCAAGGACATGACGGCCATCATCCTTCGTTTATAGCTTTCACACTGTAACATTTCTGTTAAGTGTTCAACAGAAAAACACAGCTGTAATTTGCACAAAAGGCAATGAAATGCTTGATTCTGTTTTTTGTACCAGCTAAATAAAACCAACAGTTGAGGTCACCACTATTACCACCAACTGCATGCATTAAATTCCCCTCTGTGCACAGCTCCCTATGAAGTACTGACAAATTCCATCAGCCCGTGATCTTTGAGGTTTATAGTCTATATAATTAGTGAAAAAATCCTGAAATTTCTTTTTTTGAAATGGGGTCTCAGTCTGTTGCCCAGGCTGGAGTGCAATGGCATGATCACAGCTCACTGCAGCCTGGATCTCCCTGGGCTCAGGTAATCTACCATCTCAGCCTTCCTAGTAGCTGAGACTACAGGTATGCACCACCACACCTGGCTAATTTTTGTATTTTTTTTGCAGAGACAGCATTTTGCCATGTGGCCCAGGCTGGTCTCAAACTCTTGGGTTCAAGCAATCCACTTGCCTTGGCCTCCCAAAGTGGTAGGATTACAGGCATGAGCCACTGTGCCTGGCTGAAATTTTTAATCTTTGGTCTGAATGACTTAGATTGGCTGGTCACATACTTCAAATTCCGTTGGAAAATAATACAACTCCCTCGGCTAAAATTAATTGTTAAATAAAATTTGAATGTGGGTTTTCAAGAATAGCAAAGTAATCCACAGTATTGTCAATAAAAATTTCATATCCATTAAATTAGGTATGAGGCTTTATACATTTCCCGAGTATAAAAAAGATACTTTAAATAAAATCTTGGATGAACTTGTACTACAGACAGAGGATATTACAAATATACACACAGGAAAAAACACACAGACTATCTTTTCCTCATCTCTTTAGCCAGCCACTCTATTACCAAATCTGTCCTGAATCTAGCTTGGCTATATCATTCCGTGACATCCTCTTTTAAAATTCAGCTTCTACTCCAAGAACTAATCCTGAGACCTCTAATAAACTGATTTTTCTTTTATGCGTAGTGGAAATGGGCAGTGTGAGGAGGGAGAGCTATTGCAGGGCCCAAGGCAAAACAGCAGTAGCCAGATGCTCACTGTTGTTTGTTCTGTTTGTGTCATTGTCAGGACTTCCCCCACAATGGCTGTAGGAAGCAGCAGCCCTGGTGAATTTTTATGCGCTTTTAGGCCATTCCTGTTAGGGGGCAGAGCTTCCTACTATTAAGGTAGGTTTTTACAATGATTTAGTTTAGTAAAAGTAACAGGATGGTCCTCTCACTTCCTCCTAACAAGACAACGAAATGATACAAATGCATGCAAATAAACACTGAAAACACTTTCCAATATCTCTTGGGGCTCATATCCAGTATCTGGGATATGTTCCCAGTACCTAGTAAATTCCAACGTCAGGTATTGAGCCAGACTTCTTGAATCAGTAGAATGGGGTTGAAAATCTTAAACATATTTTATCCCATCCTAAAATGAGTTGTTGGAAAAAAATCATTCTCATTCTCCAATTCATTTCTCTTTTTTGGCTTTAGTTTTTTATTTTTATCAAAGTAATGCATGTGCATGATTCAGAGTTAAATGTTATTAAATGGCCTATAACAAAACCTAGTGGTTCCTGGGCCCCACCCTCCCCACTTTTCTGTGTTCATCACTCCATATACAATCGGTTTGGACTCTTCCCTATAACCTTCTATGATTTATAAATCTCCTTATTTCTACATATTTATATACACTGCTGTGTTTTGCTACATTGATTTAGACTTCATTGACTTCATGTTATGAAAAATGGGAAATTAACTCTTTCAACGTTGCTCTTTCCTCTTACTTCCCTTTCTCCATATTTATAGCTTTTAGTTAAATACATGATGATGTCTATACAATTATTATTCACAGCTGAGCACTGTAATGTACTATGGTCGTGTCTCTTTTTTTTTAAACAGGTAATTTCCTTATTTATTTATTTATTTATTTATTTTGAGACGAAGTCTCGCTCTGTCACAGGATGGACTGTAGTGGCACGATCTCGGTTCACTGCAACTTTGCCTCCCAGGTTCAAGTGATTCTCCTGCCTCAGCCTCCCGAGGAGCTAGGACTACAGGCACGTGCCACCACGCCCAGCTGATTTTTGTATTTTTAGTAGAGACAGGTTTTCACCATGTTGGCCAGGATGGTCTCTATCTCTTGACCTCGTGATCTGCCCGCCTTGGCCTAATAATTTCCTTATTTTACAATAGTCTCCCCTTATCTGCAGAGGATACATTCCAAAACCCCCAGTGGATGCCTGAAACGGAGGATAGTACTGAACCCTGTATATACTATTTTTTTTCCTAGACAGATGCTTCTCAACTTACGATTTGGTTATTTCCTGATAAACCCATTGTAAGTTGAAATATTGTAAATTGAAAATGCATTTGTAAACCTAATCTGCCAAACAGCATAGCTTAGCCTAGCTTAACTTAAATGTGCTTGGAATAACTACATTAGCCCACAGTTTGGCAAAATGATCTAACACAAAGCCCATTTTATAATAGAGTGTTTAATAACTCATGTAATTTATTGAATACTGTACTAAAAGTGAAAAACAGAAATGGTTGTATGAGGACTGTAAGTACAGTTTCTTCCGAATGTGTATCACTTTTGCACAATTGTAAAATCAAAAACCTTAAGTCAAACCAGACTGTCTGAACATACATATCTATAATAAAGTCTGTAGGCATAGTAATAGCTTAACAATAACTAATAATAGATTACAACAATATATAATAATAGAAGTTATGTGAATGTGCTCTATGCCTCTCTCTCAAAATATCTTTTTGTACTGTACTGCAGGTAACCAAAACCACAGAAAGATAAACTGCTGAGAAGGGAAGACTGCTGTATTTCATCTGCTTAGTTTTCCTTGTACCTACTGATAATTCCTCCCATTTTTTTCCTCTAGACTGGATGCACAGTTCCATTCTGGAACTTCCCCTTGCTGTCTTCCTTGAAATTCCCTATGCTTTACGCTTGGGTAAGGCTCCCAGTTTCCCGGGTCCCTCTCCTTTCTATTTCTGAAGGAGAATTCTAGCCTTGGCATCTTTAGGTCTTTCCTAGTTAGGCTTTGAGGAGAGCACTCCTAACGGGCACTGTCAGTTCTCAAGCCTTTTGAGGATTTATGGTATGAGTCCAAGGGGTTCTCAGCTTTCCCACTGTTGGCTTGGAATGATTTTCTCTGGCTGGCTAAGTCCTAAGTCTTGCCTATCTGTTTCCATCTTCCAATAGTTTATTGCTGTTGTATCCTTTCTTGTTTTCCCTTGAATGCTTGTCTTCTGCTGGTGGTATTAATAATGTTTAATCTCCATGTAATTTTAGTGAGGGCCTTGAAAGGGAGTAAAATTAGACATGTCCATATAATTGGCCTAGTGACCCTTACCCTTATTTTGGCTAGACTGAATGCAAATTTGAAAAAAAAAAAAAAGAAAGAAAATAAAATCTCCAGCAGAATTCTTCACAAAACATTCATCAAAATATAACAAAAGATTTTGCTAAATTTGTCTCTAAAATTAGGAGGCAAGGAATAAGTTGGAGGGAATATTTTTCACTTAAAATTTCCTCTTTCCTTTTTTTTTTTTTTTTTTTTTTTGATGAAGGAGAGGATGTTTGAACTTCTGGAGAAAGTTGGAAAATAAAAATAAATATAATTGTGTAAAATATAGTCTGGGTCACAGATCTTTGATTTTAACATGGAAATAAAACTACGTTTGCACACACAAAAATGCAGCTCTTTATTATTCATATTTTTATTTCTGGTCTTAATAAAATGTTTATTTCATGATTTTTAAATATTTAAAATATAATGCATGTATTATTTTATTTTCTCTCTTTCAGAGTATCAATAACTAAACTGAATAATAATCAGAACATGTATTTATAAAGAGATTATACTCACCTACCAAAGTTTTCCACACTGGGAGTTCAGGAATATTTAATTTTATTATATATTTGAGAACCTCTGTATGAAAGGTTAACACTGATAAATGGATTATATTATTTCCTTTAATATCTGTTTTTCTCCAGTTAGCACCGATAGAAAACAGGTATTGAATAGTGTCCAGTGCTCCTGAAGTGGCAGCAAGTAACAGTGGAGTGCACTGATTCCTAAAAATTAAGAAACATAACAATTAAACACGCATAGAGTGTCAAATTTACTTTTTGTAAAACTATTCAAGCTGCAATTGGAGGTAGTCTGACTTACACCACCACCTTCTATTCTTAGGAATTCTCATCTTCCGTATTCTACATGTAAATGGATTTGCCTCCTTTGCCATGCCATCCTTACTATGGGACCCTACCCACCTCCCCAACTTAATTATCATGCCTTATAATTTGTTTGGAGGATGATAACGCACAAAGTTCTTACAATACACTATCCTATCTAAGCCTTACAACTACTCCGTAAGTGAAGGAAAAAGCAAGGCAAATATCATCAGCCATTTTGCAAATCATGTAACTGAGGCTCAGGAATTAATTACACCCATTACTTCATGTCCAGTTTTCAAATCCCAGCTTCCTCATTGTGGCAGAAACTAACAGTTTTGCTCGAAAACCCATTATCTGATTTTTAGATAGTAAAGATATTTTGTTTGGCTATCCAGTGCAATATTACATTTCCCAGCTTCTTTTGTTGTTGTTGTTGTTGTTGTTGTTGTTGAGATGGAGTCTCACTCTGTCACCCAGGCTGTAGTGCAGTGGTGTGACCTCAGCTCATTGCAGGCTCTGCCTCTCGGTTCAAGTGATTCTCATGCCTCAGCCTCTTGAGTAGCTAGTATTACAGGCATGGACCACCATACCCGTTAATTTTTGTATTTTTAGTAGAGACGGGGTTTTGCCCAGGCTGGTCTCGAACTCCTGACCTCAAGTGATCTGCCTGCCTTGGCCTCCCAAAGTGCTGGAATTACAGGTTTGAGCCACCGCACCTGGCCTCTTCTTTCTTCTCATGGCTAGACATGATGGTGAAAGCAGGAGTTGCCATCTGAGGGACACCAGCTTCCTCTGGTGGCTTCCACATGTTAAGAGCAACAAGAGGAAGCTGGTGTCCCTCATACTGTCAAGCCATCATTATACTAGCCCTAGACCACTGAATAATAGTGGAAAGGTTACTCAAAGACCTAGAAAAACTTGAATGAAACTATGCCTAAATCAGGTTCAGAGATCCAAAGTAATGACCTGGCCTTTAGATTTCTAGCCAAGGATGTACCTTCAGGAGAAGTTACACCTTTACCCTAAATACTGATCCGCAGCTAAAATGTGAAACAAAAGATTGTTGGGATTTTTTAATTTCAAAGTTATTTTATTCTTTTTAATGTATTTCTTTTCCAGATACCACTAAATATTTCTCCTGTAATCCAAAGTCCATCCGCTTTGATCTGAAGTCCTAGGGCTGCCTCCTGGTTGTGTAGGATCCAGTTTGGAGCAACCCTCTCCTCCCTAGTCTCAGGCTTCTTCCAGGGCACTAAGCAAAGCATTTAACATGAAAAGTTAATCTGCAGAACCATACTACTGGAACAAGGTTAGGAAAAACTCCCTGGGGATTAGTCCTTATTCTTCCAGAAAACATGCATAGGTTAATAGAAGCTCTCGCCTTTATAAATTCTAATGATAAGTGGTTAGGACGAGACAGTGAGTAGAAAGGATAGCAGAGTAAGCCTTACATACCTTTCAGATCACCCACACCTATCACCTTTTAGTGGCAGTGTGTGTGGCAAGCCATGAAAAGCAGAAATTTATATTCTATTTAATTTTCTTTCTTCTTTTTTTTTTATTATTGCCTAGACATCAACCTCAACCTGATATAAATGCTTAATGACTTACTCAGCTGTTGCCTCAGCTTCTAGCAAACTAGGATCCTTCCTACAGAGAGCAATAATGATGCAAACGTTGTCATAGAAAGCGGCAAAGTGAATCGGCATCCAGCCTCTTTTTTCAGAAAGCGTGTAATCAGCTTTGGAACACAGTAGACAAACTGTTGTTTCTAATGAGCAAGCCTGTGCAGCAAGGTGTAGAGGTGTTGGACCTAGAATGGATGGACAATTACTTCAGTGATCACAGCACTACCATTCCTAAAAAAAACCTAAATGCCTTATTGATATCCAGCCACAGAGCTTAGTATTGTATGATATAAAATCTCCAAAGTAAGCATTAAAAAAAAATTTAGACAACCCTATATTCCTTTATTTAACTCAGGATTAAAAATCCCAACCACTAAAAATCCATACTTGGAAACAAAAAACAAAAATTTTTAAAAATCCATATTTTTTTATAAGCAAAGAAAAATGAGTAACATTTAAAATATTAAATATTTAAAAAAATAAAATAAAATGTTAAGTATTTGAAAATTTAAGTCAATGTGTAAAATAGTCTTATGGTAAACTATTTCTTGTTTATTTTCCATTTTACTCATGTTTTTTAGTTGAAGATAAGATCCTTTGAAATTAAAATTATATATATATATATATATATATATATATATATATATATATATATATATATATGTTAACAAAGGCCTCAATGTCACTAAATCCAATGGGCATTTTTCTTTTATTTTTTCCATTGTATATAGATATTTATTATGTGGGTAGAGTCCCAAAAATGGGCTGGGCGCAGTGGCTCATGCCTGTAATCCCAGCACTTTGGGAAGCTGAGGTGGGTGGATCACCTGAGGTCACGAGTTTGAGACCAGCCTGGCCAACATGGTGAAACTGGGGTCTACTAAAAATACAAAAAAAATTTAACTGGTCATGGTGGTGCGTGCCTGTAGTCCTAACTATTTGGAAGGCTGAGGCAGGAGAATCGCTTGAGCCTGGGAGGCGGAGGTTGTAGTGAGCAGAGATCATGCCACTGCACTCCAGCCTGGGCAATAGAGCGAGACTCCATCTCAAAAAAAAAAAATTCCCAATAATGAGAGTTACTGGGTAAAACTGTATAATTATCAACAGCATCATTATTACTGGTAATATATATTGCCAAATTATTCTCCCAAAGCATAATAGCAATTCATACCTTTACTACCTGATATGGTTTGGCTCTGTGTCCCCACCCAAATCTCATCTCGAATTGTAATCCCCAAGTGTTGAGGGAGAGAGGTAACTGGATCATGAGGGCAGTTCCCCTATGCTGTTCTCATGATAGTGAGTGAATTCTCACTAAAGTCCAACTGTCATTTTTCAATTCTCATCTTACTTATTTCTCAGTAGTATTTTACACCATTGACCACTTCTTCCTATTTAAAATAATTTCTTCCCTTGGCTTTTGTGATATCACACTCCCAATTTTTGTCCAACCCTACTGGTTACACCTTGGCAGTCTCCTTTGGAACCTTCTCATTGTCCTAATATCCAAATGAACTTTAAGGCTCAATCTTGGGCCTTTTTCTCTTCTTAGTGGCTTTGCTTACCATATACAACTTGATGACTCCAAGGATTATGTCTCTAGATCTGATTTCTTCTGATTTGCAGATCTATATCTTTGACATCTTGTAAAGCATCTTCACACATCCCCTCAAACTTAATGTATTCAAAATTGAACTACTATCCTTCCCTCCAAACCTGGTTCTCTTTTATTGCTTCCTAAATCAGTGAGAGATATGATGATCCAGCCAGTTGTACAGACCACAAATCTGGAAGACTCTTTGGCACCTCCCTCTTATTTCCTTCTCCATAACCAGCCCATCACCAAGTCTAAAAATCTCTAGAACCCATCTCTACCACCACCACCATCCTAATCCAAGCCATAATCATCTCCCAACTGCTATCCCCATCTTGTTTTGCCCTTATCCAACCCAGTTTTTCAAAACATAAATCTGATCTTTTCATCTCCTTGTTCAATGGCTTCTCAAGGCCATCTGATTATGAGGAACAGTGACAGGATCCACTGGCTCCAACTTAACTTGAAGCACCAGCTACAACTACCTTCTTCATCTACCTCCCAATAAAACCATTCATACCTTGTTCTCCTCATTCTGGCTTTCTTGTAGCTCCCCAAATGTAGCATAATCACACGCCCCAGGTTACCCAGGAAAGTACTGGTCAATGTCTGTTGCACTAGCATAATTATTAATAGTGCACTTTCACTTTCAAGTCTCCTTGATTTGAATGATGAATTATCTGTCCACCCTGGACTATTCCTGCTCTCTGACACCTTCCTTCTCCCAAACAATTCCTCCCTTACCGATCTAGCTAACTCCTAATCATTTCTCAGTTTAAAAGATATTTCCTCAGTGAACCACTGTTTTCATTACATCTCTCCCATCAGAAACTTCCAGTGTCCTCCTACCTGCCTTCATAGTGGGAGCTTGATATTATAGCCTTAATAGTCTATAAAATCTGACCCAAATCTATTTATTTAAAATTATTGTTTAGTCTTCCAGTTTCTGGTCCGGCATTTAAGGAGCTTAGAAGTTACCATTTCATCCTAACAACAAGTAAAAAGCTGAACCAACCCTAAAGAAATCAACAGCCCTTAAGTTTGTCAGAGAAGTGAGGTAATGGGCAAACTGATACCCTCAAAATTGGAGAGACAAATGGATTCAGAGAATCATAACTCAGTAGAGCAGAAACTCACAAGCAGGAACTTCCTAAGGAATCATTACTGGAGTAAGAAAACCTTAACATTAATTCACAATTGCTAGAAGCTCAATGTGGACAAGTATGAGAGTTAAAAACTCTAGAAGGATCCATCATAGTGGGGCCCCATGCTTTCATGTGTTTTACCTCTAGGAGTTTTATCAAGTCCTCACAGTGAATATTGAAGAAAAATCCCCTCATACTTCCAGCAGGGGGAGGGAGAAAAGGAACCATTTTGAAATACTCCAGGGCATTCTGTTCTTAACAAGACCTGCTCTCAAGAGAAACTACTTTACCAGAGCCTAACCTATTGGGCTTTTATCAGACCCTAACCTGCTGGGGTTTTATCAGAACCTAACCTACCTAGGCAAGGGAAATGCCCAACTCCAGTCCCCTCTAACCATCCTGGCTGGCCTAAGGGACAGGGGGAGAGGACTGAGAAGCACTGGTGAAGTTCAAAGTACAGGGACGCAGGCTCACCAAGAGACTGAGATATAATCATAGGATGATAGAATGCTTCTCCCCCCATACCTTACCATCACATTATTAAAGGCCTATTTAATATAGTTTCTTTTACCCAATACATCAAGTTCAGCTATCAAGAAAAATTTAGAAGGCATATTTAAAAAGCAAAAAACACAGTTTAAAGAGACAGAGCAAGCATCGGAACCAGACATGGCAGGGATGTTGGAATGATCAGACAGGGAATTTAAAACTATGATTAATATGCTAAGGGTTCTAATGGATAAAGTAGCCTGCAAGAACAGATGGGCAATATAAACAGAGAGATGGAAATCCTAAGAAAGAACCAAAATGACATGCTACAGATAAAAAACACTGTAAAAGAAATGAAGAATGCCATTAATGAGCTTATAAAGAGATTAGACGCAGCAGAGGAAGAAATCTCTAATCCTGAAGATATATCAGTAGAAACCTCCAGGCCAAGGCACAGTGGCTCACTCCTGTAATTCCAGCACTTTGGGAAGCCAAGGTGGGAGGATTCCTTGAGCCCAAGAGTCTGAAACCAGCCTGGGCAACATAGTGAGACCTCATCTCTACAAAAAAATAAACAAAATTAGCCAGCCATGGTGGCATGGGCCTGTAGTCCCAGCTACTAGGGAGGCTGAGGTGAGAGGGTCACTTGAGTGCAGGAGGTAGAAGCTGGAGTAAGCTAAGATCATGCCACTGCACTCCAGCCTGGGCAATAAATACCCTGTCTCAAAAATAAAAATAAAAATAAATTAAAAAGTCTAGGGGGAAAAAAGAACAGAAAGAGAAGAAAGAGAGAAAGGAAAAGAAGAAATATTTAAAACAATAATGATTGATAATTTTTCCACATTAATGTGACATATCAAACCACAGATTTGGTAAGCTCAGAGAACACCAAGCCAAATAAATGTCAAAGCAAACAAAAAACTACACCGAGGCATATCGTTTTCAAATTACAGAAAAACAAAGATAAAGAAAATAATCCTATTTACTGCAGCACTATTCACAATAACAAAGATTTGGAAGCAACCTAAGTGTCCATCAATAGATGAGTGGATAGAGAAAATTTATCCATTCAGATGGATACACAATGGAGTAGTATTCAGCCATGAAAAAGAATGAGATCCTATCATTTGCAACAACATGGATGGAATTGGAGGTCATTATGTTAAGTGAAATAAGTCAGGCAAAGAAAGACAAACTTTGCCTGTTCTCACTTATTTGTGGGAGCTAAAAATTAAAACAATTGAACTCATGGAGATACAGAGTATAATGATGGTTACCAGAGGCTGGGAAGGGTAGTGGGGGGAAGTGGGGATAGTTAATGGGTACAAAATAGAAAGAATAGATAAGACCTAGTATTTGCTAGCGCAACAAGGTGACTATAGTAAAAAAAATTAATTGTATAT
This sequence comes from Homo sapiens, assembly GCF_000001405.40. Classification (NCBI taxonomy): domain Eukaryota; kingdom Metazoa; phylum Chordata; class Mammalia; order Primates; family Hominidae; genus Homo; species Homo sapiens. Next base: position 189,700,576 of record NC_000002.12, on the reverse strand, counting down.
TTTAACATAACTAAAAGAGTATAACTGGATTATATGTAACACAAATAAAGGATAAATGCTTGAGGTGATGGATACTCTACTCTGATGTGATTATTATGCATTGCATGCCTGTATCAAAAAATCTCATGTACTCCAAGTATATATGCCTACTATGTACACACAGAAATTAAAAATTATTTTAAAAAGAAAACAATCCTAAAAGAAGCCAGAGGAAAACACATTACTAATAGAGAAGCAAAAATAAGAATTATACCCAAGTTCTCCTCAGAAACTATGCAAGCAGGAAGTGTGCGGAGGAAAATAAAGTGTTGAGATAATGGAACCACTAATCTAGAATTCTGTAACCTGTAAGATTATCCTTCAAAAGTGAATGAGGAATAAAGACTTTCTCAAACAAAAATTGAGGGAGTTTGCCACCAGTAGACCTGCCCTGCAAGGCATGTTAAAAGAAGTTGTCCAAAGAGAAGAAAAATGATATAGGTTAGAAACTTACATAACATAAAGGAAGGACGAGCATCAGAGAATAAAAAAAAAAAAATGAAGGTCAAGTAAAATGTTTCTTTGTCTTAATTGAGCTAACAGAGAACAGTTTGTTCAAAATAACATTATCAGGCCCGGTGCAGTGGCTCACGCCTGTAATCTCAGCACTTTGGGAGGCCGAGGTGGGTGGATCACTTGAGGTTAGGAGTTCGAGACCAGCCTGGCCAACATGGTGAAACCCTGTCTCTACTAAAAATACAAAACATATACGGTGTAGTGGTGCACATCTGTAATCCCAGCTACATGGGAGGCTGAGGTGGGAGAATCGCTTGAACCCAGGGGCCGGGAGGCGGAAGTTGCAGTGAGCCAAAATCTCACCACTGCACTCCAGCCTCGGCAGCAGAGCAAGATTCCATCTCAAAATAAGTAAATAAATAATAACATTATCAACAAAGGGTTTGAATATATAGATACTTATATGTGCTTATGCATAAGTGAAATGAATGACATTTATGAAATGAATGACATATATATGCTTATGCACAAGTGAAATGAGTAAATGAATGATAGGTGGGAAGACTTAGGAATATGTTGTTATTATAAGGTACTTACACTACAGGTGAAGTGGCTTAGTGTTATCTGAAAGTAGACTTGGAATAATTGTAAATGAATGTGGTAAACTCTAGGGCAATCACTAATAAAAATGTAAAAAGAAATATAATGAATATGCTAAGATAGGAGAAAAAACCCTAAAAAGGAGAAGGAAGCTGATAAGCTGGCTGAGGAGCATTAATCATGAGGGGTCCTTGTGGCAAACTAAGCACTTGTCCTCTATACTGTCCCTCTCCTTGCCTCTAATCTGAAAAACTTTGGTTTTCTGTGTAGAATACCTTAGAGCCTTAATTGAAGACATGTTCTGTTTGAAGAGTATTTAAGGTTTCCAATAAAATGTACACCCCTCAAGAAAAATTTCCTGAGCACCTATGAAGGCCAAGCGTTTTTCTGGGTGTTAGGAAACTGTGGCTAACAAAACAGACCAAATCCTTGTCCTTTATGGAGCTTTATATTCAAGTGAGGGAGACTAACTAACTAAATAAATTTATATAAGGTAGCCATAAGTGATACTTAGAAAAGAAAAAGAGAGAGCAATAATGTAGGAGGCACACTATTGTTACTCAACTGGAAATTTCTACAGGGCGGATGGGACAGGTAAGCTTCCTTTTTTCCCGCTCCAGTTCCACTCACCTCCTTTACCACCCTGGCTCTCCTGCACCTGCAGAAAAAGCAACCTGTGTCCTCTGGCTCCTTGTCAGTATCTGCCAATGGATAGCTCTGGCAGGAGATTGGAGGAGGAAGAATGAGGTCGGGCTCCCTCTCTGAGGTCATCTCAGGTTTGCTGTGCTCCTCCTCTAACGGAAGATGGCCAATTTGAGTAACTATCCCCTCCCCCTTGACAATTCAGTTCGTTGTACGTAATTTCTTTAAAACAAAAGCCTTTCTGAATTCTCTTATACAGAGTATGAAGGTATAGCCTCTTAAATATAGACAAAGAAAGTATAACCTCTTAACATTTTGTTTTTCTCCATATCCAACATTGAGGTTAAGTCTACTACCTCAGTCAAAAACGACTCATTCCTCAGACCTCACAGATTGTTACTGCCACTAGATGGCAGCCTATCTAATTTATATTATAATAACTTTTTTTTTTTTAAGTTGTAGAAACCACTTGTGGGCCTGAATTTATAAAAAATAAAGGTGACAGCAAATTCCACAGGAAAAAAAGAGAAAACTCCCCAAACTGAAGAGGAATACCAATAAATAACTATGAGTAGAAAGTAATTTATGCTTCAAAATGAATACAAAACATCATTATGCAACATTCTGATGCAACAGTATTTTAGAGATTATATACTATAAGAAAAGTTCTAATATATGCAATAGCCTTTTTAAATGCACCAAATACTTTATTTATGTCTTACCATTTCTTTCCTTTTTTACCTCTACTTTGGATGACTCTGTTTTAAAAGGGAATGCACATAGAAGTATGATCATTAATATACAGCAGTTTCCTAAGTTGTTCAAGAAGACTCATATGAATAAGAACAAAATGACTATGTAGATGTATCTGGCAAGATTACATCGAACAGTGTTGAGAATAACTTTTGGTCAAGTCATCCAGGCATGTCATATGCAACCTGACAACGCATTAAAAGCAGACCTGGAAACTCTGCCCCCCAAATGGCTGCTTAAAACTCACAGGTGGGACAATTTTGTGTTGGTTAAGCAATAATATTGGAAGTAGAGTACTATGTTTTCCACACTTCAAAATCTACCTAATTCTCAGCAAATGGAAACTCAAGCAGTCAGAGGGCGCATGAGAAACTTTTAATTTATCAAAGACTTTTTCCACACTAAAAAAGGCTTAAAGTAATACATCTTTAAATAGTGTTACCTATTGCATTTAAATGTGATTGAATTGTGTCTTATTTTAATTAGGTTCATTATGTATTATGTATTGAATATTTTCAGTAACAGAAGAATCTGAATATCAAAACATTTTAATCATACTGATAGAGTACAGAATTTATGGATATTCAATACGGTTAAAGCAAAACATTTTGTTTTGGCGTCTGTAAAAATTTAACATAGCTTATTAAGATAGCTGACTTCATTAAATATAAAATCACCACTTCTTATTGCCAATATTGTTGCATTGGCCATTCCTGACAATTTACATATATATGTACATATATATGTGTAACCTCAAACTCCTGGGCTCAAGCAATCTTCCTGCTTCAGCCTCTCAGAGTAGCTAGGACTACAGGCGTGTACCACCAAGCCTGGCTAAGTTTTTTTTTTTTTTAATTTTATGGGCAGGGGGTCTCGTTATGCTGCCCGGGCTCATCTTGAACTCCTAGTCTAAAGTGATCCTCCAGCCTCAGCCTCCCAAAGTGTTGGCAAGACAGTAGTGAGCCACTACACCTGCCCCTGACAATTTATCTATATTTTCCTTTCCAGTTATGGAGGGCCACCAATTTCATTTTCAACTCTGTTTTTATTCTAGCTAAATTTATTTCAATGATTATAAAATATCCATGCATATTTAATAATCACAAAAATAGCTTTTAAAGTTTAAATGAGGTTAACCTTAAAGGGGCTATTAATGCTAAACATTATTATGATAAAGAAATTTTTTGTTATTAAATGTAATTTAAATATATGTAATATAAAGAAACTATTCCCTGTTTGAGGATCCTGGAATAAAGAATGATTGTTCTACTGGGACCTGACAGTCATATCTATTGCTGTTCTCTGAATTTCTATAGTATATCAGTGTATATTAATTTTGCCAGTGCTTATCAAATGATATCCTGCCTTCACCCATCCATGCATTAACTCAACAAATATTTTCTGAGCAACCATTAAGCCACACTTTCATCTGGACATTAGTATACCACGGCAAATAAAGTAGGCTAAATCTTTGCCCTCTTATAGAGCTTATACTCAAATGAAGGAGACACAATGAGCAAATATAAAACCATATAAGCTAGCTATAAGTGATACTTAGAAAACTAAAAGAAGCCTTTCTTAGATAAATGAAACAAAAACCTCAACTTTGCTCTAGTTAATACCAAATTTTAACCTGCTCTAAAATCAACGTGCATTCCTAATGCTGAGTAAGGGTAAATAAAATAACAACATTTTAGGTTAAAAAACTTTATGGTACCTTGGCTGAACGTAACAAAGCGCCTCTGGTTGACCTTGAAGTTAGCATTGCACAGTTGACATATAATAGAAACTCTGTTGTGCAGGGCAGCATGATGAAAAATAGTATAACCTGCTTCATCTGAAACATTGATTGTTGAGCTTGAGGTTTTACGGCTAAATGTGTGGAAAACTGCAGACAACCCTCTTTCAACAGCGGACTTCATACCAAATGGAATACTCTAAAATTAAGAAGGCCAGAATCAGTTTATCAAAATGCACCTAAAGTTTGGTTTAAGGAAAAAAATACATGAAGTGTATTAACAGAATCACATGAATGCTGTTAAAATTAAGTAGAATTTTCACAAGATCCATGCATGGAAAGTTTCTTACTGGATAATGATTAAAGTAGTTAGAGCTATAAGCAAATATTAAGAATTTAAAAAATATTTTGGGGAATTTTTTATTATTAATTTTTTTCTAAAATATTTTAAAAGCAAATGGAGATCATTGGGTTCCTTCTCTGATTTAAGAAAAACCTAATTCAGAAGTCTAGAAATTTGAAATATATAGCTGTAGAAATACAGTTTGTCATCCAAAGGTAAAAATGTCACCCTCTTTAGACATTCTGACTAATATTTAAAAATTCAACTAACAAATTTTTGAGGTTTTAATTTGTGGACGTGAAAACAAATAAATGGAAAGTAAATACCAGTCTAACCTTTGAAGCTGGTGAGCTTCTTTGCTCAGTTCCAGAAGCTGTACTTCAAGGCTTGTTGAAACAGATGTGGAGATTTGATGATGCTAGGTCTGCTCTTTAGGTTTTAGTTCCCAGGACTGAAGCCTGGCTCTGCCATTTACTATATGATTTGTGAAAGATCCCTCTCTACACCTCAAATTTCTCATTTGTATAACAGGAATGATAATAATAGAACTAGTCGTACCTTAAAAGAGTTCATTGATTTATAATATTGCCTAACATACAAAATAAGCAATCAATACGTATAAGCCGTTATTGAGATTAATCACAATCCAGTGCATTAACAGGTACTCTGCCAGAAATTTATAATCCAGAATTGTATAGCCTTTCAGCTACTAAAATGTGGCATTTTATTTCATGTTGAAGACTTTAACCTATTATTATCCCTAGGATAAACATCTGTTTGAGACACATACTTATCAATAATACATAACTTCATATACTAAATTATGTGGTAGTCACTGAAATACCTTGCATTTCATAGCTCTTTTGAAACCAAGCTTTTTCTTAAATTGTTCATGTAATTGAGCATCTGTCAGTGGAAGTCTTTTCAGTCTCAGATTGTTCACTATTTCATTTATGGCTCCCCACCACTGTGTCTTATATAGTTGCTGATAGAAAGTTTCTAGTTCAAAATAGATCACATAGTAGCTATAAAAAATAAAGAAAAAAAAGATGTTTCTCTAACTTTGAAGTGATTTGCTACTTCTCTTTCTATGCTGGCAAAACTTTTATTTTTCTGTAACAATTAAATACAAAATGGTAGTTTAAATTGTAGTCAACTGTAAGTATATTAATAAGATAGTTATCAACTGTTATTAATCAAGTCTTTATATAAAAATACCTTCTTCATATTGTATTGACTCTGTCCTTTCCATGTCAGTGATCTGGGGCAATGTCTAAAAGCTCCTGGAAGGCCTAACTCTGGCTGAAGTTCTATGTCATCTAACTGTCTGCTTACCTACCTCTTATTCTTTTAAGCTAATTATGTCTATATCTGGCTCCTCGAGAGTTTACCTTGAATGTAATATGGAATGATGCTTTGGGCAATGGCTCCTTGGCTTTTACTCACTGCAGCAGTGGACTAGAGAAACCCCCCTCCTACCAGGTCCCTGGAACATAGGTGGGGCTTGAAACAGCCCTGATCCCTATCATTCTGGAATGGAAAATTGATAAAATTTTGAGTAACTCTGTTCCCTGGGTTTGCTTATCATCACAGGTGAGGGAAAACGGCGACCTTCCTCCCCTTCCCCCCATGAGGTACCCTTCCCATGCCCGGATTTCAGCGGTGAATACTTCAGCTGCTGACCTACCTCTGTCAGTGGGACACCTCTTAATATTACCTGGGTTTCTCCTCCAAATGCAACTATTTATTGCTGTAAATACAGTATTCTTTTTTCTTGAGACAAGGTCTTACTCTGTTGCCAAGGCTGGAGTGCAGTGGCGCAATCACGGGTCACTTCAGCCTCGACCTCTCAGGCTCAAGTGATCCTCCCACCTCAGCCTCCTGGGTAGGTGTGACTACAGGCATGTGCCACCTAGCCTGGCTAGCTTTTAAATTTTTTGTAGAGATAGGGTCTTATGGACAGGCATGGTGGCTCATGCCCGTAATCCCAGCACTTTGGGAGGCTGACGTGGGCAGATCACTTGAGGTCAGGAGTTCGAGACCAGCCTGACCAACATGGCAAAACCTCTTCTCTACTAAAAATACAAAAATTAGCCAGGCATGGTGGCGCATGCCTGTAATCCTAGCTACTCAGGAGGCTGAGGCAGGGGAATCACTTGAACCTAGGAGGTGTAGGTTGCAGTGAGCCAAGATTGCACCACTGCACTCCAGCCTGGGTGACAGAGCAAGACTCTGTCTCATAAACAAACAAACAAAAACAAAGATAGGGTCTTACTCTGGTGCCCAGTCTGGTCTCGAACTCCTAGGCTCAAGCAATCCTCCCACCTCAGTTACTATTCTCCAAAGTTCCAGACTTGGTCCTATCCTCCCAACTGCTTGCATGCCTTAAAAGCAAACAAACGAACCAACAAGCAAAACTTCCTTATTTGTTTTTAAATCTTTGCCTCTAATTAAAATGTTTCCTCTGAGCTCTACTTCCCATATTTCCAAATTTCAGTGTCCAATATTTAAAAATCCAAGAACCACAACACATAAAAGACAAATAGGCTGGGATTTGATCCCCATCTCTACCCCTATTTAACCACTCTGTTAATTATAAGAACTAATTACAAGCTCTAAGGATTGTTACACAGACTATATCAAATACATGAAGTAATAACTATAACATTTAATATTTTGTTGAGTCCATAAGTCATTCATGGTGGTTATTATTGTGGAATCGCCATTGTAAAGGTTTACATTAACCTTTGCATTTTGTCATTTTCTTTGTTCTCTACTAACGTGCAAAAAATTGTAGTTAATGTCAGTAATTAGTGAAAGCTCCGTACCTTTTTCCATGAAATTCCATGACTGGTATTGAGTAATATTCTTTATATCCTGAATCTTCTATAAATGTATTAGCAGCACAATCTCGTATTTTTTCTAAATTTTTCTAAAATATGAGTTATGTTACTAAAGACATATCCTTAGACACATCTAAACAATTATAAGAATTCTTTGTATGAAAGAGTATACATGTAAATGACAAATTTTAAATTTACTATTCCAGAAGACCCGGATAGCAGCTGAATATATCTAATCCTTACTTTGAGAATGAGGAAAAAATACAAAAGGAAAGACACATAGTATACAGAAGGTAGAAAAGCAATAACAATTGAAATGTAGAATTTTTATACTAAATTCCAGGTGAAGAATTACTGTTCCAAAATTTTAAAGGATCTCTGTTCTAATCCTGATTCTTTGAGGAAAATGGAAGAATGTGTACTGAGTGTCCAGAGATTTCTACTGCACTCTTTGGTTACCTGTTCTGGGACAAATATAGTCCATTAGAAGTCTTTAAATTCTGTGAGGGTGATAGATGTACCTAGCTTATTTATAATTTTATCTCAGATATCCAACACAGTACCTTACATATATCTGCACTTAATTCATTGATGTTAAAATAATGTATGAAAAAATTATTGAGTTGTGAGAATAATCATTTGGAGAGCTGTCGAGTGCCTGTACCAACAGAGGCTCTTTTTGGTTGGAGAATAGGATAAAAGAGTTGTGAAATGATAAATTGTCTAAGGAATGATCATTTAAACCTGAAAATCTTCCAAGGCATTCTCAATTGAAGGGGTGCTGATATCAAATTCAATTCCTCCATGAACATGAAAATATTGATTCTCTTTGTAGTGAAAATTCTGGCATTTAAAATCTCTTCCATAAATAAATGGAGGCAATTCTCGCTCTGTCTTGACCTTGTCATCTCCAAAAATGAAAACAAATTTTTATTTAAAAAGTGAACAGCACATAAAGTCATATTTTAAGAGATCTAGCTTCTCATTCATGTAAACAAAGTGAGAAAATTCCAGATGAAATTAAAATCTTGGCAATTATAGTGCATAAAATTATTTATGCTGTTAATGTATATAAATAGTTTAACATTAAAATATATTTTTGAGCATGCACAGTGCCTCATGCCTATAATCCCAGCATTTTGAGAGGCTGAGGGGGGCGGATCGCTTGAGCCTAGAAGTTCAAGACCAGTCTGGGCAACATGGTGAAACCCCGTCTCTACTAAAAACACAAAAACTAGCTGGATGTGGTGGCACATGCATGTAATCCCAGTTACTTGGGAGGCTGAGGTGAGAGTATCGCTTGAGCCCAGGAGGTAAAACCTGCAGTGAGCTGAGATCATGCCACTCCACTCCGGCTGGGTGACAGAGTGACACCCTGTCTCAAATACATATATTACAGTGCCAATACTGCCCTCAGTTAATTACTGTTTATATATTATATATATATATATCTCAAATATATACATATATATGTATGTATATATACAATATATTTATATTTTGAGCACTTTCTGTAGTTTTATTGTACAGACATTTCAAAAGTATGCTCAAAACATTGTTCCAGTTCTTGATTTATTGTAAGTGAGCTCAAGATTAGTATCTTACTCCCAATTATAAGAAAGGACCAGAAACTCTGTGCCTAAGAGAATCTTTGTTTAATATACAAAAACTTATCTCAGCTAGTTTAGGTAAAAGGAGACATTATAAAGAAGCAGATGAGTATATCTCACATATAAAAATAACCATCCCATATTTCTGGAAAGTAATGAAACTACACAGATAACTTATTTTTAAAAATAATTTTCTCTCCCGGGCGCGGCGGCTCATGCCTGTAATCCCAGCACTCTGGGAGGCCGAGGCGGGTGGATCACCTGAGGTCAGGAGTCCGAGACCAGCTTGGCCAACATAGTGAAACCTTGTCTCTACTAAAAACAGAAAAATTAGCTGGGCATGGTGGCAGGTGGCTGTAATCCCAGCTACTTGGGAGGCTGAGACAGGAGAATCGCTTGAACCCGGGAGGTGGAGGTTGCAGTGAGTCGAGATCGTGCCACTGCACTCCAGCCTGTGTGACAGAGCAAGACTCTGCCTCAAAAAAAATTTCTTTTCTCAAATTCCAGCAAAGACTAGGTTTTTTCAATATTTTGACTGGTTAGTAGAATATGGTTTAATCAACATAAGGGACATAATGTATTTTGAGAAATATAAAAGGTAAAGAAAAGTACAAATAATAATATACACTATACACCCTGATCTCAACACCTAGAATTAACTATTAACGTTAGTCATATTTGCTTCCCATAGTTTAAGTAATAAGATATTGCAGATATAGTTAACGTTCTCTTTAAGCAAGTCCCTCCTACTTCTATACATGCTCCCCACCACCCAAGAGCCATGCCCTGTCATAATTCCATTTCTAATAGTTCACAGATACTGAATTCTCATGATACAAACTTTCACTAAAACACAGCACCTGAATTCTCATGATACAAACTTTCACTAAAGGATTTGCAAAATTTCTGCTGAAAATTTGCCATCTGAATAGAAAGCCCATTATAATAAGCCTACATGCTTGGAAAGCAATGAAAATGTATAAATTGTGTGCTAATCAGTGTTGAATGAAGAGTTTATACTGAAGTCCCATCAAATTCCATTAATCATGGCCTGTTTCAGTTCTCTATTCTCTTACATTGCTCTATTTGTTTATTAAAGTGCCAATACTGCCCTCATTTAATTACTGTAGTTTTAATATGTTTCCATCTATTTTTCAGAAATGAAAGACCATTATTAACCCCTTGCTGCTCTATATTAATTTTAGAGTAAGTGTGTATACTTCAATGAAAAATATCATCAGGATTTTGAATAGAAGTACACTGAATTTATAGAGTAATTTGAATGAGATATGATACATTCACAGTGTTTTCCCATCATGGATATGGCATATTTCCCTATTCATACAGAACTTATTTTAACTTACTTTAAATCTTTCAGTAGCCCTTATAATTGGTATAAATATATACAAAGTACTATATACATACACTGAGTCTTTTTAATTACATTAGAGACATTAAATTGTTTGTTTTCTCTAACAGGTTATAGCTAGGTTACTGCCTGCACCCATATACTAGAAACAAAATTGCATTTAAACATATATTTAATATATACCTATATTTTATATTTGATTTTTGGTGATACTCTTACCTGAAAAAGGCTGAAGCAGACTACTTAAATATGGAACTTTCATTTTCTTCTTTAAACTCAGTAGAAATGGAATCAGAAAACATATTAACTTTAGGTATCCTATCCCTCTTCTGATATCTTTTTTCTTCTCAAAGTGTTTTTGAATAATCTTTTTTTGAAGATATAATCTTTGCTGTAGTCTCTGGTAGGTACAGATATCAAGATAATCCTGATTATATTTTATAGCATTAGTAAGCCAATAGCCTGTTTCAAATATAAAGACATTTTCATACTGTTGAATTTGTGTGGTACTGAATGTTAACTTTAGCATAATATTTTCAGCATATTTCATAAATACAGCTGTTTCTTCAGGGCTGTTGGGATCATATGTTGGATCTTCATTCACGTCTTCATCATAGATTTCATTAAAGTCTGGATCCTTTGTAATATCAGTCAAACCTTCATGATAAAAAAGGAAAATTTTAGATAGTGAAAATTTCATATTTGGCTTCTGGATAAATACAGAAGATTGAACACAGGATTTTATCATGAAATCCTACTATCACGACAGTAAAGGAAAAATTAGATGCTGTAAACCAAATATATAATTCTAAGCACTCCCTACAACTGACTGAACAGACCCGTTTTGGGCAAGGGGACCCCAAAGAAACCTTAAAAACTAAGTTCTTGGCCATGATGGGATGGGAGGTCAGACATACCTCATTATACCCCTTTCCTTTTGTGGTTTAGACACAATAACTGACCAGCATTAATGTTAAAATACAGATCATAAGACTGACAGAACAGACTCTTTGTGGCAATAAGATACCAAACTATAAAGAAAACCTAGGGCCATGCCAGGCAATGGTGAAGTCACAAACCCCTCTACTTAAAGAATAAACTGTGTTCTAACTGCCACAAGGTTTTTCTTTTTTCTCTAACAGTTAAACAAACACTGTCCTCAAGATAAGCAATTTTAAAAGAATTACGGCCCGTTCACCAACAGATGCTGAATAACTGATCTTCCTGTCCCCTACGCCTAACTAGAGCTTTGACTGGACAAGAGACTGATTTCAGTAACTTTCTCCTCATAAGACTACTGACCACGATGTGGTTCTGGCCTGTTTACAGAGGCTGTACACGTGAATGCCTTCAAGTCCCTGCTTCACTTTCTGACGTATAATAAGGGCCTAATTGTAATGCATTTATATGTTAAGTCTCCACCCCAAAGTGAACATGGATCATATGTAACGTGCATGTTTGTTCAATACGCATGTTAGAACCCACTTCATGAATGTTCGTAGCTCTTCCTATAACTTGTTACATATCTATACCTGAATATGTATACTTGGCCAAACAGTTCAGCTTAAATTCCTGTCTTGCTCCTCTCTTCCTCGAAATGCCTGTCAGAATGGCCAGCTTGAAGACTGTAACCCTTTATAAGAAATATACAGATTCATTGCAATCCATATCAAAATAGCAGTCACTGTTCTTCATAGAAATAGAAAAAATAATCCTAAATATATATATGAAACCACGAAAGATCCAGAATAGCCAGTCATCCTGAGCAAAAAGAACAAAACTGGAGGAATTACATTACCTGACTTCAAAGTATATTGCAGAGTGATAGTCACCCAAACTGCATCGTACTGGCATAAAAACAGACGCCTAGACCAAAGGAGGTCAGAGAACTCAGAAACAAATCCATACTTATACAATGAACTCATTTTCAACAAAGGTGCCAAGAACATATGCTGGGGAAAGAACAGTCTCTTCAATAAATGGCACTGGGAAAACTGGATATCCATGTATAGAAGAATAAAACTAGACCCCTATCTCTCACCATATACAAACATCAAATCAAAATGGATTAAATACTTAAATCTAAGACCTCAAACTACGAAACTACTAAAAAAAAATTGGGTAAACTTTCCAGGATATCAGTCTGGACAAAGATTTCTTGAGTAATACCTCACAAGCACATTTTGCAACCCAAGCAAAAATGGACAAATGGGATCACATCAACTTAAAAAGCTTCTACATAGCAAAGGAAACAATCAACAAAGTGAAGAGACAACCCACAGAATGGGAGAAAATATTTGCAAACTATCTATCCAACAAGGGCTTAATAACCAGACTATATAAGGAGGTCAAACAATTCTACAGGAAAAAATTCTAATCTGATTTAAAAATAGGCAAAAGATCTGAATAGACTTTTCTCAAAAGGAGACATACACATGTCAAACAGGCATACGAAAAGGTGTTCAACATCTCTGATCATCAGAGAAATGCAAATCAAAACTATAATAAGATATCATCTTACCCCAGTTAAAATGGCCTTTATCCAAATGACAGGCAAAAATGAATGCTGGCAGGATGTGGAGAAAAGGGAACCCTAGTACACTGTTGGTGGGAATGTAAACTAGTACAGCCACTATGGAGAACAGTTTGGAGGTTTCTCAAAAAACTAAAAATATAGCTACCGTATGATACAGCAATCCCACTGCTGGGTATAAATGCAAAAGAAAGGAAATCGGAATATCAAAGGGTATCTGCACTCCCACGTTTGTGGCAGCACTGTTCGTAATAATCAAGATTTGGAAGCAACCTAAGTGTCCATCAACAGATGAATGGATAAAGAAAAAGTGGTACATATACACAATGGAGTACTATTCAGCCATGAGATTCCGTCATTTGCAACAACTTTGATGAAACTGGAGGACATTATGTTAAATGAAATAAGCCATGCACAGAAAGACAAACTTTGCATATTCTCACTTATTTGTGGGAACTAAAAATTAAAACAATTGACCTCATGGAAATAGAGATGGTTACCAGAAGCTGGGAAAGGTGGCAGGGAATGGTGGGGCAGGAGGGAAGTGGGGATAATTAATGGATACAAAAATATAGTTAGATAGAATGAATAAGATCTAGTATTTGACAACACAACAAGGTGACTACAGTCAATAATTTATTGTACATTTAAAAACACTAAAAGAGTATAATTGGATTGTCTGTAACACAAAGAAAGGATAAATTTGTGAGGTGAAGGATACTCCATTTACCCTGATGTGATTATTAGGCATTGTATGCCGTGTGAAAATATCTCATAAATATATATACCTGCTATGTACCCACAAAATTTAAAATAATTCAAAAAAAGAAAGAGTCTCGTTTCCAAATTTATAAATCTCATGATTCTTAAGTTAACAATGCCAATAAAATTGTGTAAGATAAAAGCAGACAGATGAGTAGGTTACTAAGGAAAGTGAATACAGATACAATATAAGTCCCAGCTTTGATCAAGGAAAATATGAAACAACAAGAAAACGTGATTTTTCTTTAACCAGGGTATCAGCTTCTCACTTGGGCCAAAAGCATAGTTTGTTTTTTCAGGCTAGTACTATAAATTTCTTTTTTTTTGCCAATAAGAAGCTAGACATGCATAATAAACAAAGAAACTGCCAGCTAAGTAATCATCATTTAATAAATAAGAATTAAAACTTGATTTTACTCTATCAAAAAATGACAAATTTCCCGTGCTACATTTTCTTGCCATTTACAAAGAAATTGAGGACTTTCTTCTTGTCAAATAGTCTTTTTAAGATAGTTATATCTACAATGTTACCCTTAATTTAGGCTTGAGAAAACTGCTTGTAGTCGTAAGACATGACTGTAGAAAATGTGGCATTTGTTTGTAATATATATGCTCTAAAGTGTAAATGATATGTCAATGTATCCCCTCCTTTCTTTTTCTTTTTTCTTTCTCAAATCTTTTTTTTAAAAAGGCCAGAATACTCTTGGGTTTTTAAAATGGCCACTATAATTCATCTCTTTTCTGCAAAATAGTTAGATAAATTACAAAGAAATGAAAGGGATTCTGGCAGTTTAAAGAAGTCTAAAAAGCCAGAGGGATTGTTGATAGCACTAAAACCTCATGGCTTGGGGTGGCTGGGAGCCAACAAAAACCACAAGAAGCCTTAGAGACTGAAAGCATTATGTGGAGGCTGTGAAGGACAGGCCATGGTGCAAGAATTTTTTTAAAAGAAAAGGTGTAGTGAGATCCCTAGATCATCTTCCCCAGATAGCACAGCCCTTCTCCTCTTCCTCACTAAAAGGGTACAAAGCACAGCTGAGGGTTGGGAGGAGCAGTTGTGCTGAAAACTAGTTAAATGAGAGTCTGAGTGCTGAACCAAGATATCCACAGTTCAGCACTTCCCCTCCTTTGGCCCCTGACTCACAGCCCTCCCTCCAAGCAGGATACTGGAGGAAACACACCTGCAGATACAACATCTGGGGGACAGGCTTCCCAGTGGAATGTCAGGGGTTCCTGCTCATCACTCTACAGTGAAGTCTGCCAGCGTTCCTGCCTCACTCCTAAATGAAAACAAGCAGCAAGGATCGCCAGGCAGGTGAGGAGAGCCTCTCAGATGAAAGAAGCACTGGAATTACTGGGCCAGGGGCAGGGAGGGGTGCTAAAGGAAGGTGAAGTGGGCTTAAAGCAATGAGTTCTGACAAAAGGAAGAGGATGAAGTTATCAAGAGAGACATCTCTAAGGAAAAAATGGAACTTCATATCCCATTTTTTTATCAAGAAGAATTCAATATTTCCCTTTGAAAGACTGGAACTGAATTAGTAGTAAGTACATGGAGAAGTTAGCTACTGGAAAAAAAAACCACGATTGTTCATATCATGAAAAATAATGTTCCCTGAATCAAGGACCAGAAGCAAAAAAAAAAGAAAAAGAAAGTTATTAAAGAAAGGAAATGTCCCAGCCGGGACAACATTCTACAAAAAATAAAAAACAAAAAAATTAGCTGGGCATGGTGGCAAGTTCCTGTAGTCCCAGTTACTCAGGAGGCTGAGGCAGGAAGATCACTTGAGCCCAGGAGTCTGAGGCTGCAATGAGCTGAGATCATGCCACTGCATTCAAGCCTGGGTGACAGAGTAAGAGCTTGTCCCTTTAAAAAAAAAATTCAGAAAACAAAGTGCACATTATGTAAATTAGCTGGAAGGAATATGTACAGTCATAGGAAAGTAAATAATAAAAAAGAATTTAATAAAAAATTGGATCAAATGAAATTTGGAGGATGAGGGGAATGAGGGGAAACAAAAGTTTCCACAGCTTTAACCTCTATTTTTTTTTTTTTTTTTTTGAGACAGGGTCTCTGTCACCCAGGCTGGAGTGTAGTGGTATGATCTTGGCTCACGGCAGCAGCCTCAACCTCCTGGGCTCAAGTGATCTTCCCACCTCAGCCTCCCGAGCATCTGGGACTACAGGCGTGCACCACCATGCCTGGCTAATTTTTGTATATTTTGTAGAGCCTGGTCTCGAACTCCTGAGCTAAAGCGAACCACCTACCTCGGCCTCCTCAAGTGTTAGAATTACAAGTGTGAGCCACTGTGCCCAACCAATTCCCTTATATTCTATTATTACCCATTTAATTTCTATATGTATTGAAAGTTTACTATAAGTCATGCACTGTATAAGGTGCTGAGAATTTAAAATCAAACCAAAAAAGACACAATTTTCTGTGCTCTCAAGAATGAGCTTAATGTCTAATAAGGAAGAAAGAAATGAAGCCAATAATTTCAATTCAAAATACAAAGTATTTTTCTGTGCACAGATAAAAGAGTCCAAATAGAGTAGGCAGTATCTGAATCAAGTCTCAAAAAATGAGTAGCAATAACCCTAGGAAGAAAGTGGACAGTGGTGTGGGGTGAACAGGAAGAAGGCATTCCAGATAGAGGACAGGGAATGAACAGAGAAAAAAACAACCCAACTCACATTACTCGCTTGTGATAATAAATAAGTTCCCATTTTTTCTCAATATTTCTATTAAAAGTTCCCTTCTCCTATTTTGCTATCATGAGATGTTTTCTTCTTTCCTTCCATCCTCCTAGCCTTCTGGAAAGAGTCTAAGAATTTATGAATTAGATGAAGGGATCCACCCTAACTAAAATGCCTGCTGAGAAAACTGGGTAACATGGCCAGATTTTTGGTGTGCTCTATTCTCTACTATTGCTACTGTTTTTAAAGAATGATGTTGCTGGTGGTTTGTAGAGTGCAAAGCTATGTGAGAGATAAAGGTTAACTTGGCCAAGACGGATTCCCAGCAGTCTGCCCTCTGAAAAAGAGTTGGCTTTCTGCACAATTCCTTGGAAATCCACTGTAGCACAGTGTTTAAGGTAATCACATGGTCAGTTGCAAGGTGTGAACACAGTTTCCCAGTCATGCCAACAGAGGAGCTGCTGTTTTCCCAAACGTGAATGGTGATATAACAACTTACACTGCTGCTAGCTTGACACCATGTACCTGCAATTACAAAGCTTGGACACCAGCTCTCTGATCATGCCAGGGGAGAGGTGGTACACTCCCTCAATCTCTAACACTAAGCTTGGAAGAAAGGGCTGCAGCCAAGTTTCCATGAGTCACACTGTGTATCAGACACCTTTTGTTCCCTACCTCACATCCTTTCAGACCACATTTTTAAACTGTAGTTTTTGCTCCACACAGACTTGACCTGACTGTACCTTGCCTCAAGTGCACCACAGGATTATTTTTGCCCTGAGGCTTCTCTGCCACTGCTGTTAGACTCCTGATGGAACCCATCCAGCCATTCTGGTGTAGGAACAAATCTGAAAGCATGAGCGAGTTAACCCTCCATTCAAACTTCGGCTAATGAGAGACAGCAGCCAGCGGATACACTTTTCCCTCATCTATCCTGTCTTAATCATTTAGAGCTACTGTAAGAAAAAAGCACAGACTGGGTAGCTTATAAAGAATAGAAAATTATTTCTCACAGCTGTAAAGGCTGGGATATCCAAGATCAAGTTAGATGTGGTGTCTGATGAGGACCCATTCCCTGGTTCATAGACGGTACCTTCTTGCTGTATCCGTACAGGGTGGGAGGGACAAGGCAGCTCTCTGGGGCCTCTTTTATAAGGGCATTAATCCCATTCATGAGGGGTCTGCCTTTATGAACTAATCACCCTCCAATGGTCCCATGTCCTAATGCCATTGGTGATTAGGTTTCAACATTTGAATTTTGGGGAGACATAAACATTCAGACCATAGCACATCCCTTAGGCTGGCAATTCTGCAGTGTATTCTATATGACTCCTCAGAGTGTCCCAGCAAAATAAATCCCAATTGCCCAAGTGGTGAAAAAGCTCGACAGCACATTCTTGGGTTGATGCTCCCTCCTTTTCTATTCACTTTTCCTGTCCCTCACTCCTGTTCCTTGGAATCATTTCTCAAAAACTAACTTGACTCACGTCCTTGTTTCTGATGCAATTTGGAGTGTAACCTAGGCTAAAACATCTTGCTATTGTATCCTGTCCTCTGACCTGATGCTTCTTTAATCATGTAGCATAAAAGCCCTGTAGCCCAATGGTTCAGGTCCCTTTCTTAGAGTCTGACCATTGGCCCTGTAGGATTTCACAGTGGTGCTCCAGGTGTGGTGCATGATGGGGAAACCTGTGCCTATTCCTGCTACTGCCACCGTGAGATTCCCCCTATAAACTACTTCAGTAGGTCTAGTATGTATGCTGGTGGTCATTTACCACTGCTTGCACCACACATTGTTGAAGTTTCTGAAGCAGACACCCAATGTGCAGTGGAGAGAGAAAAAAATATTTCTACTAGGTGTAATGCTCATCTTTTTTTCTTTTTTTTTTCCTAAAAGATGGGGGTCTCACTATGTTTCCCAGGCTGCAGAGTGGTGGTTATTCACAGGTGCAAACATAATACACTACAGCCTCAAACTCTTGGCCTCAAGTAATTCTCCTGCCTCAGCCTCCTGAGTAGCTGGGAATAAAGATACATTCCACCATGCATGGTTTTGATGCTCATCTTTGATTGGCCAGGAGCCAACAGTATTAAGCACTCTATTGTAAACACACCCAGCACTATCCCCAGGCACATGATAGTAGAGTGACTGGATTTGTTAAGGTTCCCAGCCTCATTTAAGAACAATTTTTAAAAGGTTTGAGGCAGAGAGCAGTCAGAATGCTGTTGCAGTGGAAAAGGGTGTTCTGTACTACAGTGTTGCAGTAGAGATAAGCCAAAGTAGATGATTTTGAGAGATATTTTAAAAGTAGAATCACAAAACTCAAGACATAAGTTTCATATCAGGAAAGCACTGATATTTAGCTAATATGCAACAATAACACCACATTGTTAAAATACTGAACCCTCAATTGGCAAACTGAATTGCTGCAGCCCCAAGCTCATTGAATACCTCCCTCCCCAGGGATCACCTGAAAAGCTCCATGATCCAGAAAAGGGTAAATATGACAAGCAGGAGGTCTCTGAGACCCTGCTCCAGCATTATGGCTGACGTCCATTCTGATTGCTCAGTGCCAATACTGTGCTGGTGGTTAAGTGTTTTGAGTATCAACCCTGAAAATGTAGGTGTAGAAAGCAGACAGCATTAGTCCTTTGGTGCTCTCTGTTTCCACCTACAACTTGATTAGAATGTTCCTATGTGTCTCTGATCCCCTTACCAGGTGCACCATTGCAAGGGAATCCTCATAGAGGGTGGCAACCTCAGATATGACACACAGATGGGTGAAATAGACCAGATCCTGGGCCATGAAGTGGCTTGATGTAACTAACTTTGTCATCAAGTAAGCAAGAGCCCTCTTCCCTTAGTTACACAACAGGACATGTGCTCCTTCCTGCCATGATCAGGTCTCTACTGGTGCTCTAACTGGATGATCCAAAGGCTCTCGTGGCTTTAACATGTGGATGATTAATCAATATGTATCTAACCTTTATCACTTTCTAGAATTTGACTTCTATACTGAAAGTTTCCATCTAGATATCTGGATCTAAAAAGAGCTTGTTGTTTCTTTACCAGTTTGGCATATGCCCATTCAGAATGATGGCTCATCAGTCCCACGTCCTCTCAAATGAGAGCCTCAGGTAAATTTGTAAAAAGGGAAACAAAAGTAAACACAATTTCGTCAGAATGTCAAGGCTCTACCGCTGTTGGAAACTACCAAGCACTCTTGCTGATCCTTAACCTCCGTGGACCTCAGATCTTCACAAAGCTCTTGGCATCACCTTGATCCAGATAAATTACCTTTAAATTTAAAAAATGGCTTAACATTCTCCAAGATAGATCATATGATAGGTCACAAAACAAGTCTCAATTAATTTAAGAAAATCAAAATTATATCAAGTATCCTCTCAGACCACAGTGGAATAAACTGGAAATTAACTCCAAAAGGAACCCGCAAAACTATATAAACACACGGAAATGAAATAATCTGCTCCAGAATGATCTTTGGGTCAACAATGAAATCAAGATGGAAATTTAAAAATCTTTGAACCAAACGATAATAGTGATATCAAAACCTCTGGGATTACAGCAAAAGTGGAGCTAAGAGGAAAGTTCATAGCAGTAAATGCCTACATTAAAAAGTCTGAAAGAACACAAATAGACAATCTAAGGTCACACCTCAAGGAACTAGAGAAACAGGAACAAACCAAACCCAAACCAAGCAGAAGAAAAGAAATAACAAAGATTAGAGCAGAACTAAATGAAATTGAAAGAAGAAAACAATGTGAAAGATAAATGAAACAAAAAGCTGGTTTTTTGAAAAGATAAAATTGATTCACCATTAACTAGATTAACCAAGAAAAGAGAGAGAAGATCCAAATAAGCTCAACTAGAAATGAAACAGGAGTCATTATAACCGATACCACAAAATACAAAAGATCATTCAAGGTTACTATAAACACCTTTATGTGCACAAACTAGAAAATCTAGAGGAGATGGATAAATTCCTGGAAATATACAACCCTCCTAGATTAAATAGGAAGAAACAGAAACTCTGAACAGACCAATAACAAGTAGAGAGCTTGAAACAATAAAAAATTGCCAACAACAAAAAAGTCCAGGACCAGATGGATTCACAGCTGCATTCTATCAGACATTCAAAGAAGAACTGGTATCAGTCTTACTGAAACTATTCCAAAAGATAAAGAGGGAATTCTCCCTACATTATTCTATGAAGCCAGTATCACCCTAATATCCAAACCAGGAAAGGACATAACAAAAAAAGAAAACTACAGACCAATATCCATGATGAACATGGATGCAAAAATCCTCAAGAAAATACTAACGGAATCTGACAGCATATCAGAAAGATAATACGCCATGATCAAGTGGGTTTCGTGCCAGGGATGAAGGGATGGTTTAACATATGCAAGTCAATATATGTGATACATCATACAGACAGAATCAAAAACAAAAATCATCTCAATAGATGCAGAAAAAGCATTTGACAAAATCCAGCATTGCTTTATGATTAAAACCCTCAACGAAATGGCCATAGAAGGGACATACCTTAAGGTAATAAAAGTCCTCTATAACAAACCCACAGCCAACATTATACTGAACAGGAAAACACTGAAAGCACTTCCCCTAAGAACTGGAACAAGACAAGGATACCCACTCTCACCACTTCTATTCAACATAGTACTGGAAGTCCTAGCCAGAGGAATCAGACAAGAGAAATAAATAACAGACATCCAATTTGGTAAAGAGGAAGTCAAACTGTGGCTTTTTGCCAATGATAAGATCATATGCCTAGAAAACCCTAAGGATTCATCTAAAAACCTCTTAGATGCCATAAAGGAATTTAGTAAAGTTTCAGCATACAAAATCAATGAACACAAATCAGTAGCACTGCTATACACCAACAACAAACAAGATGAGACTCAAATCAAGAACTCAATCCCTTTTACAACAGCTGCAAAAAACAAAATTAAATAAAGTTAAATAAAATAACATAACATAAAATAAAATACTTAGGAATATACCTAATCAAGGAGGTGAATAATTTTTACAAGGAAAACTACAAAACACTGCTGAAAGAAATCATTGATGACACAAACAAATGAAAACACATCCCATGCTCATGGATGGGTAGAATCAATATTGTGAAAATGACCATACTGCCAAAAGCAATCTACAGATTCAATGCAATTCTCATAGAAATACTATCATCATTCCTCACAGAACTAGAAAAAATAATCTTAAATGTCATATAGAACCAAAATGAGCCCACATAGCTAAAGCAAGACTAAGCAAAAAGAACAAATCTGGAGGCATCACATTATCTGACTTCAAACTATACTACAAGGCTATAGTTAACAAAACAGCATGGTACTGGTATAAAAATAGGCACAGAGACCAATGGAACAGAATAGAGAACGCGGAAATAAAACCAAGTACTTATGGGCAACTGATCTTTGACAAAGCAAACACAAATGTAAAGTGGGGAAAGGGCACCCTTATTCAACAAATGGTGCTGGGATAATTGGCAAGCCACATGAAACTGGATCCTCATCTCTCACCTTATATAAAAATCAACTCGAGATGGATCGAGAACTAAATCTAAGACCAGAAACCATAAAAATTGTAGAAGATAACTCGGACAAACCCTTCTAGACATTGGCTTAGGCAAACAGTTCATGACCAAGAACCCAAAAGCAAATGCAACAAAAACAAACATAAATAGATGTGACCTAATTAAACTAAAAAGCTTCTAAACAGCAAAAGAAACAATCAGTAAACAGACAACCCACAGAGTAGGAGAAAATATTTGCAAATTATGCTTCCAACAAAGGACTAATATCCGGAATCTACCAGGAACTCAAACAAATTAGCAAGAAAAAAACAAACAATCCCATCAAAAAGTGGGCAAAAGCCATGAATAGACAATTTTCAAATGAAGATATACAAAAGGCCAACAAACATATGAAAAATGCTCAACATCACTAATTATCAGAGAAATGCAAATCAAACCACACTGAGATACCATCTTACTCCCGCAAGAATGGCCATAATTTAAAAATAAAAAAATAATACATGTCGGCATGGATGTGGTGAAAAGGGAATACTTACACTGCTGGTGGGATTGTAATGTAAACTAGCACAACCACTATGGAAAACAGTATAGAGATTCTTTAAAGAACTAAATGTAGAACTACCATTTGATCCAGCAATCCCACTACCAGGTATCTACCCAGAGGAAAAGAAGTCACTATATGAAAAAGACACTTGCACATGCATGTTTATAGCAGCACAATTCACAATTGCAAAAACATGGAACCAGTCTAAAGGCCCATCAACCAATGAGTAGATAAAGAATACGTGGTGGCCAGGTGCAGTGGCACATGTCTGTAATCCTAGCACTCTAGGAAGTCAAGATGGGATGATCATATGAGGCCAGGGGTTCGAGGCCAGCCTGTTCAACACAGGGAGACCCCATCTCCAAAAAAGAAAAAAAAAAAAAGAAAGAAAGAAAATATATATACCATGAAATACTACTCAGCCATAAAAATGAATTAAATAATGGCATTCACAGAAACATGGATGGGGTTGGAGACCATTATTCTAAGTGAAGTAACTCAGGAATGGCAAGCCAAATATTTTATGTTCTCCCTTATAAGTGGGAGCTAAGCTATGAGGACGCAAAGGCATAAGAATGATATAATGGACTTTGGGGATTCTAGAGGAAAGGTAGGAAGAAAATGAGGGATAAAAGACTACACATGGGGTACAGTGTACACTGCTCAGGTGATGGGTGCACCAAAATCTCAGAAATCACCACTAAAGAACTTAGCCATGTAACCAAAAACCACCTGTTCCCCCAAAAACTATCGAAATAAAATTTAAAAATTTTAAAAATGGCATTGAATAAAAATAATTAAGAAGTGGCCAGGTGCAGCGGCTCATGCCTGTAATCCTAGCACTTTGGGAGGCCTAGGTGGGTGAATGGCTTGAGCTCAGGGGTTCGTGACCACCCTGGGTGACGTAGTAAGACTCTGTTCCAAAAAAAAAAAAAAAAAATTTAAGAAGTGTTAAATTCTCTTACCTGCTGAACTAAACTCTGAAAAAATGTCTTTATTTGTTTGAGGTTTTCCATCAGGATCAATGTCCATGATGGCACGCCACAATTCAGAGAATCTAGCTCGTTTTTCTTTGGGCATATATATTCCATGCCATAGTGCTTTCAGCATGTAGTCAATATTGATCAGAATTTGCCCAATTCTGGTATCATAATAAGCTGGAGGTAATTGACAAGAAGAACTCTGATCATAATTAGCTTCTAAACTGATGGAAGGGATTTGATTTAGGCAATAAATTCCAATAGCCAACTCTCTTATCATTTGATGGACCTCTCTATAGTCTAAGAGGGCAGTAGGGTCCACGGGAGTCAGTAGGATTGCAGTGGAGAAGCCTACGTTATTCATTTGACTCATAATTCCACATGGGAGGTCTACTTGAGAGCGCACATCCTCTTTGGCAGACAACCAGCTAACTAGTGCAGTAGTTAGTAACTCTTGTATTTCACTCCGATCATATTTTTCAAAAAAAGCAGATGCATTTCTTTGTATTGCTAAATTTTCCAGGTAGGTGTCTTCATCCTGAACTTGCTCAAATCTAGGTAATCCTTTTTTGGGCAATCTTAACATTTCTAATTAAATCTAGTGTGTCCTTTTTGAAGCTTCTGCAATGAATAAGAAGGAAAAGATTATCAATAAAATCTGACATGCCAATGAAACTGGATTTGTCTAGAAATAAATCTGTACCTTTCACCTACATAAGATTAATTTTTCATGGTCAACCATTATAGTTTTCAAATTAAAAATAACTGCAGTATATGAAAACTGAAATTTGAATTAAAATAATTAAAATTATAAAACCTTTATCATTAACCATGTTCTGCTTTTCAAAGAATTCAAAAGACAAGAAGATGTATGTCAAAAAGAAACGTTAAGTTTATCTGTGAGAAGCTACTGTTACATACCTATTTTGTTGTTGGAGAGGCATTCTTTTGTATATGTTCGTGTTAGTCTGTTTGTGTTGCTATAAAGGAATACCTGAGACTGCATAATTTATAAAGAAAAGAGGTTTATTTGGCTCACAATTCTGCAGGCTGTACAAGCATGGCACCAGCATCTGCTCAGCTTCTTGTGAGACCAAGCTTACAATCATGGCGGAAGGGGAAGGGGAGCCAGTGTGTCACATGGTAAGAGACGGAACAATAGAGAGAAAGGGGAGGTGTCTACTCTTAAACAACCAGATCTTTCATGAGCTCAGAGGTAGAGTTCACTCTGCCAGGAAAGCACCAAGCCATTCATGAGGGATCCACCCCCATAATCCAAACACCTCGCACCAAGCCCTACCTCCAACATTGGGGAATCTATTTTAACATGAGATTTGGAGGGGATAAATATCCAAATCATATGGATATTTATTTTGTTTTCAGTTTTTTAAAGCAAGACTATACTGACCTGCATGAAAGAAAAGAAAAGGGTGGGGCGCAGTGGCTCATGCGTGTAATCCCAGCACTTTGGGAGGCCAAGTCGGGCAGATCAACTGATGTCAGGAGTTCGAGAACAGCCTGACAAACATGGAGAAACTCCGTCTCTACTAAAAATACAAAATTAGCCAAACGTGGTCGTACATGCCTGTAATCTCAGCTACTCGCGGGGCTTGAGACAGGAGGCTGAACCCAGGAGGCGGAGGTTGCGGTGGCCTGGGCAACAAGTGTGAAAAACACTGTTTCAAAAAAAGAAAAAAAAAAGAAAAAGAAAAGGAAAGAAGCATTTGCTTAACCTTCAATTTCTGTGCCAATGAATGCCTGTCTATTCCTGAAATAATAATAACCACAACTACTATTTATTGAGCCAGGTTCTTTACTATATAATGGTTTGATTTATTTCATCTGATTGGTCTCTATTATATAGTGGTTCTCAAAATTTAGCTTGTATCAAAATCACCTGGGGCTTGTTCAAATACAAATCGCTGAATCCCACCACTGAGTTTCTGATTCAATGAGCTGTAGTGGGGCCAGAAAATATGCGTTTTAGTAAAGTTACAGGAAATGCTGATAGTGCTGGTTTGGGCGCCACACCTGAGACCCCAGGTCAGTGAGTCAGACCTTGTTATGCCCACTTTATAGAGGCAAAAACGGAGACCAGGAGGTTGCAGGACAAGTCTGAGGTTTTACGCCTTTCAGAAACAGAACCCACGTCTGTCCAGTCAAGCCCGGGACCCACGTCCAAAAGCAGCTCGCGTCAGCCATGGGCACGGGAAAGGGGAAAAAACAAGGAAAGGGGAGGAACCTACTCTAGAATGGCTGTTTTCTTGTCCGGGAGAGGGACGCTGCGTCCGCGGCGTTCCCGTGGGGCTGAGAACAGTCGTCGCCGCCTCAGATGGCTTCTCGCGGGGCCTTGAATCCGCCCTCAGGGCCTCCGCAAGGGCGAGCGGGAGGCGCACCGGAAGGAACTGAGAGGAACTTTCAGGGCTTTTCGCCCCACCGTGGCGGCCCGGCCCTCCTCGCCTCGCCGGCCAACACTGCCGCCGCCCGGGCGCGGGTCGAAGCGGTTGGTCCTCCGGGCCCTGGGGTGGCTGGGCTGCTCCTCGGGCGGAGCCTGCGGGCGACTAGGCCTGGTGCGTCCCGCAGCAGCCGCAGCGCCCCCAGGCGGCGCCCGGCCCCTTGGCTGGCTCAGACCCCCCGCGTGCGCATCATCCCAAGCCCGCTTAGCGCTTAGTCCAGCGGCATGCCGTGGGCACTGTGCCGCCCTCACTATCTGCCTCTGCTAAAACACCGAAACAGAGTAGCAGAGGAGACAGCGCCGGGCGTTGAGGCAGTCCCGAGTTGGAATACCACCTCCATCATCATTCTTTCATTCAACAAGCATTTATGGAACACCTATTATGAGTCAGGCACCCAGCTACAAGCTGGAAACCCTAGAAAACAGGGCAGACACGAAACCCCAAGGAGCTTACAGTTGAACAGATCATCTCACAGCTATATTTAACAGTGTGCCAATATTAGATGGAATGACAGCACTCGAATGAAAGCTAACCTAGCCCAGGGCTAGGAAAGGCTGCCTAAGGAAGTGCCCTTTTCCCCTCCGAGCCTAGAAGATGGAAAAGAGCTACCCAAGCAAAGGACTGGACAAGTAGCTTTTCAGGAACAGGGAACAGCAGGAGAGAAAGAATTGAAGTGAGAACAAAGTTGAAATGGTTGAGAAACCGCAAAACCCTGCTTAGAGAACAAGAGAGATGTGGGCACAAACCGAGCTGCTGAGGTGCGCGATGGACAGATCATGCAGGCTGCTGAGTAATGATTTTGAATTTCATCCCAAAGGATTAGCCTACAGTAGTGGCAGTGGAGGTGGGGCTCAGGGACTGTGGACAGATTTGAAAAATAATGAGGTTGCCTGTTGGTGACAGATTGGGGATATGTTGAAAAAGAAGGTTGTGTCCAAGTCAGAACCACATTTCTGTCAGGAGCAACAGGATATCAGGGCAAGATTAAGAGTTCAGTTATGTACTAATTGACCTTGAAGTACCTGTGAGAGAAATTGAGATGTGAGATATGCTTTAGATAAACAGTTCTGGGCTAAGAATGGCAGTAGGGGTTAGATGTATAAATTTTGGCAGATTTATAGTAATTGAAGCCAGGAGTGGGGTTGAAATCACCAAGGGAGAGCGTGCAGAATGAGGAGTTGAGAACCAAGGATTAGAGACCTGAGAAATTTAACATTTAAACGTCAGGTAGAGAGAGTGAAGTCAGCAAAGAAGACAAAAAGAACAGCCAAGAAGGCAGGAGGAAAACCAAAATTGGTCACAGAAGCCAAAGAAGTGTGTGGAAAAAAAAAAAGGAATGGCCAACTTTATCGGATGCTGCTGCTCGGTCAGGGGAGATGAGAACAAACTTCCACTGAATGCAGCAGCTTGGAAGTTCTTGGTGACTGTTTGGGGCAGAATTTCTCTTCCAGTAACCATGTCATTATTTTAGCTACTATGGAAATAAATATTAATAAATTTATGAGGACTATTCCAGGGCTTTTTTTTTTACAAAGATTTGCATGTTTGCACTTAAGAAATATGAACCATATATGTACATTCTCCTACTTCAAGGATTGTTTCCCCCTGGGTAGCCAAATGGTTTGTTCCATGTGTCTCAAATCTTCGGAAAGAGATGCCTCATTTTTTAAAGGATCAACACAGAACTCCATCCCAGAGCTAATGGGATTGAATAGCAGAAGGTTGTAAATGCCCAGGCCCTCTTGGGGTTCACACACATGCATGTGTATCCTCTCTCTGTCTCTCTCAGTATTCTGGTGGAGCAGATGACCTGGAAATTCCTTATAAAAGTTTGACTGATTAATACATTTAAATCTCATAGAGTAGAGTAGCACCTGGAATATAGCATTATGTAAGTTATAGCTATTTTCAGTATTAAACTGTATTGGTGTTATAATATTCAATTCTAGGCCGTGGGGCAAACCTCTTAAGTTCATCTACTCCCAATATAAGCAATGTCAATTTAGTGCTCAGGCCCACACAGACACTTGAAGTTGTCTGCTTTCAGATTGAGGGATGAAAGCTATGTAGGCAGTATCTAAATTTTGGTTGAACATTGCATCTTCCAGGGAATAAATTCGGGGCATGTGAAAGCCTTTGCCAGGTTACTGACCTGTTTGTCCGGATCCTAAAATTTATTTGCTACTGTGATTAAAGAATCAAAGGGTGGCCAGATCCAGAAATGGTGTCGATCCTAATGGACAGATTTCACAGTGACACTGGTATGGCAGTTAACAGTTGAGTAATGTGGGTGGATGTCAGGTTGGAGTAAATAGACAAAAAGGTGGAGAGAGTGACTGTGGATGAGAGGCAAGACATAGTAAGTAGAGGAAGACGTAATTATTCTTGTCTTCAGGTTGAGTAGGCTGAGGAGGAGAAGGGGCTGTCTCGGGGTGGCAGAGGCAGAAAATCCACATATAAGTGGAACTGCACAGTTCAAATGTGTTGTTCAGGGGTCAACTGTAGTCTTTAAAAGTTACTGGGGTGGGAAAATGAGCTGCCTAAAAAGATGTAATAGAAGTAACAAGTACTGTTCAGGAGGATGAACCTCAAGCAAATTGTTTAGCTTCTTTAAACCTGTAGTTCTTTTATCCATGAAACAGGACCCTGTCTAAACCATGGTCCCTGAAGAGAGGGAACTGAATCATTTCTGGATGGAGTGATCAAAGAGAGTGAGTCTGGGAAAACAAACTGTTTCTCTTCACTCTCACACAACACTTCTGACACCAGATGTGTGGATTTTTTCCACCAGATGTGTGGAGAATTACCAAGCAATTCTCCAGCTCTCTGAATACCAGCTGGGTATCCTACAGTTTAATCCTGCCTCTATCTACCTGGAGTGAGTGTCAGATCCTTCCATTTAAGGGCTCAGTGCCATAAGGTGTCTCTGCTTTAGATGGCAATTTCAAGTCTGGATCTCTGGTACTTCTGATTGACCAGCTACATAAACTGGGGG
Organism: Homo sapiens; assembly: GCF_000001405.40. Lineage (NCBI taxonomy): Eukaryota > Metazoa > Chordata > Mammalia > Primates > Hominidae > Homo > Homo sapiens. Next base: position 189,671,625 of record NC_000002.12, on the reverse strand, counting down.
TTTTCATGACCCCCTATTCAGGTTCGATAATTTGCTAGAATGGCTCACAGCACTCATAGAAATACTTATGTTTACTGGCTTATTATATAGGATACATCTCAGGCACAGCCAAATTGAAGAGATGCATAAGGCAAAGTATTAAAAAAAATTAAGATGAGAGGGAGCTTCCTTGTCCTCTCTGGGCATACCACACTCCCAGCACCTCCACATGTTCAGCAAACCAGAGGCTCATCAAATCTTGTTCAAGAGTTTTTATAAAGTTTAATAGACCTTAATTTTCAGCACCACTCTCCCTCCCAGAGGTTGGTGGGTGGGGATGAAATTCCAACTCTTCTAATCACTTGATTTTTATTTTTGTTTTTATTTTTATTTTTAGAGACAGGGTCTCACTGTCGCCCAGGCTGGAGTGCAGTGGTATGATCCTAGCCTCACTGCAGCTTCAACTTCCTGGGCTCAAGTGATCCTCCCACCTCAGACTCTTGAGTAGGGAGGCACATGCTTCCATGCCCAGCTAATTTTCTGTACTTTTTTTTTTTTTTTGGTAGAGATGAGGTTTCATCATGTTGCCCAGGCTGTTCTCAAACTCCTGGACTCAAGAGATCCCTCTGCCTTGGCCTCCCAAGCTGCAGGTGTTAAAGGCTATTTAGAGACCTCACCCTAAGTCAACGCATTAGCATAAACTCAGGTGTGATCAAAAGGGGCTTATTATGAACAACAAAAGATATTCCCTATCACTAAGGAAATTCCATGGTTTTAGAAGCTCTGTGACAGGAAAAAATGAAAATTCAACCAAATGAACTTTAAAACTACTATGTTATACAATAGTAAAGCAGCAGAGTATCTTACTTTTATATAATTATATAAAAACTTATTTTTATATTGTTACATTGTGAATCACATTACAATTTAGTCTCCTTTTCAATAGAAAGATTTTCTAAGGACATGATTTGGAGCCGTCCACATTTATCAGATGCCTTTTCATTAATTTTTTCCATTTTTGCAATTCTTGATCCAAACTGCATGGCCCGTTTGGGCAGAAGAGCAGAGGCTGTAAGACCAAGTTCCACAGCTGCAAGGCGTAAAAGTAATTTTTCACCAATTCCTCGGGGTAAAGTCAAGTTTGCTTTTTCCCAAATCGGCAGAGAATTTAGAAAGGAGACAACATTTTCATCCAGGAAAGGAAATCTAAAATAGACAGATAATATAACCACTATGTAAAAATAAAATCAACCTGCTTTGATTTATACACAGTTTTATAGCTAAAATTTAACCAAATTGTTTCACAACATGACTAATTTTAATACATATACTACAAAATAGTCTAAATCTCAATAAATAAATTAGGTTTATTGTGTCCAGAAATAATTTCAAATTGTTTTACAAGGTATCTTTGTGGAGGCCTTGAAAACAAACATGATTTTTTTTTTTTTTTTTTGCCTAGGTGAGCACTACCGCACCCAGCTAATCTTTGTATTTGTTGGTAGAGATGAGATTTCGCCACATTGCCCAGGCTGGTCTCGGACTCCTGAACTCAAGTGACCCACCTGCTTTGGCCTCCCAAAGTGCTGGGAATACAGGAGTGAGCCACCGCACCTAGCCTACGAGCATGATCTTAACTAACTATTCAATCTGTGTCTGATCTTTATCAGGTCTAAAGAAATGACACTTTAGGGATATGGAACCAATATAGAAGGGCTCCACAGTCCTGAACCTGCAAAACACTTATGGTAAAATTTTGTTACTCAAAATTGTTTAATTATACTTAAACCAATTAAATGGTGATAAATTACTGTAACAGAACAAAATATTAGATTTTTTTCCCCTAAATTCTGGGATGACCTAGAAACAAAATATTCGATTAAAAAAAAACTTTCTGCCCTTTTCCTTCCCCAATTTCTAGAAAATTATGTTCTTTTTCTGTTTAAAATACTTTAACACCCACCATCCCACATCTCAAAATGCAATACAGTTACACTAGTGTTTCCGTTTTATTACATCCTATTCTAGGTTAAGAGATTGGAAAGGACAAAGACATTTGTTATCTGGAATATTACATAAAAATGAATGAGTTGCAAAAGCAAATTTAACTAGAGAATCAAATCAACACACTACTGTTAATATGTATGTCAAGATACGTAATAAATTATTTAGATCTAGCCACTATATTTGTTATATCACAATTCTGTATTAGCTGCTTTAAACATTCTTCATATGCATTTTTATTTGAGCATAATATAATACTTTCATAAGTAAGGGCTTTTACTAGACAAATTCCTTTCTCTATGACCTAGCTGAAATAACAGACTGAATTTCTACCTCTCTCATGTCCTTCAAAGAGAAAACAGTTTAACAGTTTACGGACTTTATTATGGCATTAGTTATCAGTTTATAGTGAAATCTTGAAAATTATGACAGAATAATGACATAGTAGCTAAACTTTTACATGGGCTAGGACCAGAAACTTAAGAAAGACAACTGTGTAAAGGCAACTACAAGTCAGTGGAAAGAGGAAAAGACTGAAGTAGAGACAAGAAACAATGAAGTCAAAGAGAGAGAGAGAGAGAGGGAGAGAAAGTGTAGTATGTTTAATTCTCATGAAGCTTACTTGGACTTCCTATTCTTGGATGCTTGCACCCTTGTAATAAACTACCACTTAATCAATTAGCCTACTTGAATGAATTTTTGCTCTTTATAACTAAATGTCACATCTTCCTTTATCCTTACTTAATGTTTTAGAAAGTTTTATTCAAATACTGTACTTGTTCACTACCTTCAGAAATATGATATAGGTAAAAATAAACCTGAAAAGCAAGAATACATACATGAAAGTGCCTTGGTTTCTTTGAAGGTTTTAGGTAATCTGCAATATGTAACTAAATTGTGTTCAAAAAACGTGGCAGAGGAATATCCAGTGTAAGGACTACCTTCAAATCAGCATGGATCTGTACATACAGAAATGTCTATAGAGACAAAGCCAGTTTCTATAACACTGGAGAAGGCTTGCAGGTGGGGCTTATGCCCTTACTGGGAGGAAAGCAAACATTAAAAGCTGAACAAAACCCTCTAAATACCTTCTCTTAGTATTTCACTATCTCAGTTTTACTCTGTTTTTTTGTGGAAACAGAGTCTCGCACTGTCTCCCAGGCTGGAGTGCGGTGGCGCGATCTGGGCTCACTGCAACCTCCACCTCCTGGGTTCAGCCATTCTCAGCCTCCCGAGTAGCTGGAACTACAGGCATGCAGCACCATGATCAGCTAATTTTTTTGTATTTTTAGTAGAAGTGGGGTTTCATCATGTTTACCAGGCTGGTCTTGAACTCCTGTCCTCAGGTGATCCACCCGCCTTGGCCTCCCAAAGTGCTAGGAAGACAGGTGTGAGCCACCATGCCTGGCCTACTTTGACAGTATTTTTCACTATAGTCTTAAAAACAATCCTGTCATTATGTTACCTTTGAAAATTACTGAAAAGACATTTCTTAGAGAATGAGTTCTAGAAAATAAATGCTCTCCTGGCTCTTCCCAGCTCTGTTTCTGACTTTGTTTATAATACAAAGCCAAGCTATTATTGCTGCTCTTATTCATGTGAACAGTCTCCAAAGAGAAAACAAACTTTAAAGTCTCCATTTACACTCTGCTGTTTTTATAAAAATACCGTAAGAACACTCAAATGATTAGAATTACCTTGCTTCTTTTCCATGATCACCAATAACTCTGTCATCACGACCAAGATTTCTAGAAGAAATTCGACCCAGTTCCATCATTATTTCCTTATTCAATCCTTCCAGCCCATGCGACTGAAAGCGGACACGATGACGAGAATAACCTGCAAGTTGCTCATCTGCACCAATTCCAGTGAGAACTACCTATGAGGTTTAAAGAAATCCGTATAAAAATGTTATCAACTACACAGTAAAGAAAATAAGATAAATGCACCTAAAATATGCTATATTCTTACAATCAAAATGCTAAAAGCTTTAAGGGTCAAAAATAGGTCTCAGGAATTCTCAGGAGAAGAAACACTGTGTCATACCTTTGCATTGCTCTGATAGGATTTCACTCCTTCCTGGGCCACTAACCAACCAATTCCTCTAGAAGCAAACCAGACTGCACAGCCAATGCTATCATCCAAAACTGTATCCAATGGCCGAATTAAGTGACATATTCGAGTTCTTCTTAATTTCTGCAGTTCTTCCATAGAAACATTAATTTCAACAAAATTCCAAATTCGGGAAGGGCTAACAGCTTGTAGTTCCTTTAGTCCCGCCCTTCCTGTGATTCGATCTGGTACACTGACATGTTTATTAGGACTGTCAGCAGCAGCAGCAGCAACATCTTTAGAGAATTCTTCTGAAGGTATTTCACATTTATTTTTCTGTTTATTCCCTTCTCTGTTAAAGGTAGTTGGCATGGTCTTTTCTTCAGCTATGAAAGCTACATTAAGAAGATCAATTGGTTCATCTAAAGGAATATGACGGTCAGCAAGGGTTGCAATAACCATGGAATCAATGCCCCCAGAAAACAGGATTGCAACATTTGCTTTCCTATCACACGTTTTCAAAACTTCATTTGCTGTCAGGTTTTCATCCCTAGGTAAACACAAGACACGTTTCTTGACTGCTACACTCAGGACATCAATGAACTGCTGAATTACTTCCTTCATGTGTACATCAGTAAGAAAGACTTGAAGTATCTCTCTTGTAGGTGGCACATTGGAAATATTACTGCAATGAGTCTCCAATGCAGCTTGTGGCAACATCATATTTAAAGGAACAACAGGTTTTTCAAGATACAGTTTGGCTTCATTTGCTACCACTGATACAAATGCTGGTAAGTCTGCTGAAATTTGACTCAGGCTATTAACATTTTCTTCAATAATATTCTCCCTAGAAATATATTTCCAAGGATACAGTTGTAAAATAATGCATCCGGAAATGACAGTAGACTTAAGATCAATTCTGAAAAGTCCAGATGCTGGAACTTCTTGCCACTGATTTGCCAATCCAGATGTTTGGGTGCCAACTGAAGAGAGGCAGAAACTCTTGCCCAAATTACTAAAATGCCAAAGCAAGCTACGGCGACCAAAAAAATCCCTACCAAACCATAAATAATGACTAGATGCTTGATAATATATAAATGACCAGGGACCTTGTACTTCTGAGAAGAGTGACAAAATCTCAGATTCATTCTTACAGGAGGAAAGATAATTAAACAAAATTTGAGTGTCATTCTCTTCAGCTTCAACCTTTATTCCACTAAAAATTTCTCCATTCCATAGAAACACATTGCCTCTTTCATCTTCCACAGGCTGGGTAGTCAAAACACCCCTCAAGTGTAGGACGTGAGCAGAAAATAAACACTGGTAGTTAACATCAGACTTTAACAATTGTTTACTACTATTGGGTCCCCGCTGTTTAAGATTATATAGTAAGTCCTCTTTTAAATCTTGACTGAAATGCTCAGCAGAAAAGTTTACAGAACAACAAATGCCACACATTGTTATGTGAAATCAGGTTGACTATTTCTTGATTTTGGTCTTGTCTAAGTTTTCTATTTCTTGGTATTCTTTTTTCAGTTCATCCAATATATCTGTTGCAGGGAAGGAGAATAAATATTAAATAACATAAAAATTCTTGGACTTTTACCTAGCAATTCAGAGGGCAACACAAGCTGTTTACCAAAATCAAACCATATAAACACACACACTGTGCCAGTACCAATGATAATTAACAACAGGCTACTAATAAAGAATGTTTATCTTTTAGAAAAATAGCTTCTGTTTTGCCGAGTGCTGATTTTGGCCCAAGCACTTGGCTAAGCACTTTTAACATAGCATCTTATTTAGATCCCACAATACCTTGGAGGCTTAAAGTATTTCACCCAAAGTCACAAAGGTAGAAAGTGGTAATGGTTTGTCATACTTAGACCTGTTTAAAATTCTAAAGCACATGTTAATAACTATTGCTTTCTAAAACATTTATAATATATATATATATATATATATATATATATATATATATATATATATATACACATATATATATAACTGTTGACTCATCTTCGGAAGCCTAATTTGAAGAAAATCAAACTGCTGCATTAATCTTTAGATATATATTTTAACACTCAGATGAGTATAATTTAGGCACCCCCCAAAAACCCCAAAAAAGAAAAAACTTACTCTTGCTCTCAGACAGCATTTCTGTTCGGTCTGCAAGAAAGAATATATTGCTGTTCTGTTGTTGCCTATATACTTTCTGGAAAACATAATTTAGGCTAATATCAAATTTTGATCTAAAAAGTAGATATTAAAATCCTTAAACCCTATTATCACTAATTCTTGAAAATCTATTCAGTACAATACTTTAGCAAATACAGACAAGCAAAAAGACAAATAAAAGTCACCCACTGCCCAACTACCAGAAATTGCTACTACTGAAATGAAACTATTTTCTCTCCATTTTAACAAAAAAGGTTCTTACTGTACCTGCAGATTTATGCTTTTATCAATGAGCAATATATTGAGAATACTTTTTCTTATCAGTAAGTGTTCTTTTACAAGAACACCAAAATGCCAAAGCAAGCTATGGTGACCAAATTATACCTACTGCTATATAGATATAATATATTACAGTTTATTTGCTCAGCTTCAAATACTAGACATTTAAGGTGTTACCATCTCTTTGCTATTGTAAATCAAGGTTGTGATGATTATCTTTGTAACTAAATCTTTGTGCACTACCATGATTCTCTCCTAAGTATCAACTACTATAAATGGAACTGCTGGGTCAAAGTGTTATAGTTTTGAATTGTTGAGACTTTTTGCCAATTTGCCCTCTAGAGAAAGTCTGTATTAATTCTGCCTCAACTTCTTTTTTTTTTTTTTGAGAAGGAGTCCTGCTCTGTAGCCTAGGCTGGAGTGCAGTGGTGTGCTCAGCTCACTGCAACCTCTGCCTCCCAGGTTCAAGCGATTCTTGTGCCTCGGCCTCCTGAGTAGCTGGGATTACAGGCACACGCCTGGCTAATTTTTGTATGTGCCTCAACTTCTAATATTCCATAAGTGACAATATCAGAAATATCTAACCAGCCAGTTATTACATAATCTTTACAAAGCTTTTAAGAGCTCAAACTCATTTCTTCCTGAATGTTAAAATGCAATTTGACACTATAACCATACACAAAGCAGTAGCTTACTTGTTTGTAACATATTAATGGAAATGGCATTAAATAACCATGTTACACATTTAGGAAAATCTATGTAAAAATTTTTTGGAGGGAGGGGAAGCAATGTATCCTTTTTTGTTCAATAATTATCCACATTCATTTAAAAGAAAAGTTTCTTCTCATCTCAATATAAAGTTCGTTTATATCAAAAGAAAACATCAAATTCAGGTATAAAACATCATTAGTGATTATAGCTCCAAGATACCAAAATACAACTAGTATCATTTGTTGCAAAGGCAATGTGAATGGCATATGATAGAAAAAAGACATCTTCAGCTATGAGATCTATCCATTTAAAAAAAGAATCTAGACACTTGCAATTTTAAAAGATGCTGAAATACTATACATTTTATTAAAGTATGATTAAATCTTATATATACTTCTTATAACTTTAATATATAGTTAACATAAATAAACCTCCCACATATTATTCAGAATTCCTATAATAACTCACCCTATTCTTCTTAAGGTTAGAAAGTTCATCCACCACAATTTTTTGTTCTTTAATCTATTGAAATAAAGAAAAACTCCTTAAGTCAGATGTTTTCAAAGTATGCTCAATGAAAATCCCTTAAGGGGTTGTTTTAAAATTAGAGATGGGATAAGGGGCTATGATGTACTGGTTTTCCAAACGGGCAGTTTGTGAATATACAGATCATTTTCAACAGGAGTCTCTGTGTGGGGGTACAGTTCAGGAAAAGCTGGAGGAGAAAAAACAGTGATTAGACTTGCAAAATGTTAGGTAACCCATTAAGACCAGACAGGGATTTTCGTGTTCATAACCAGCAATCATGCCAAGGACTACAGTTACTAAACAAGGTTTATACCTTTTGTTAAAAATATATGATATACACCAGGCCGGGTGCGGTGGCTCATGCCTGTAATCCCAGCACTTCGGGAGGCCAAGGCGGGCGGATCACCTGAAGTCGGGAGTTCGAGACCAGCCTGACCAACATGCAGACACCCCATCTCTACTAAAAATACAAAATTAGCCAAGCGTAGTGGCACATGCCTGTAATCCCAGCTATTCGGGAGGCTGAGGCAGGAGAACTGCTTGAACCCGGGAGGCGGAGGCTGCAGTGAGCCAAGATTGCACCACTGCACTCTAGCCTGGGCAACAAGAGTGAAACTCCGTCTCAAAAAAATAAATAAATAAATAATTTAAAAAATATATATATATGATATACACCAAAAGGAATTAAGTTGTGATTTAGATTGAAAATTAAGTTGTGATTTAGATTTAAAAAAAAGCAAATTGAATGAGGGGTGGGTTACTTTTTTCAATATTTTCATGATTTTATGTACTAAGTGCTGCAGTCAAACATTCAAATCAAGCAATGCCCTATTTGGGGACAGTAAGACCTATCATGTTCCATCTTGGTATTTTTCCCTCTTTTTATCTCAATGACTAGCATAGAGCTGGCACTGTTGAACTGGGCTTTTTTTTTTTTTTTTTTTTTGAAACAGGGTCTTGCTCTGTTACCCAGGCTGGAGTGCAGTGGTGCGATCACGGCTCACTGCAGCTTTGATCTTCCCGGGCTCAGGCGATTCTCACACCTTAGCCTCCGAGTAGCTGGGACTACAGGCCTGGGCCACCATGCTGGCCTGGGCTTCATTTATTTGTAGGGGAGGGCTCAACTAAGTGAAAACTAAGTTTCTTTTTAACTCTATTTATTTTGTGAACATGACTGATTACATAGTATCACAAGAGCCTCTAAAAGCAGCTTTTATCATATTTGTGCTACCTCACACACACCTCAGGGATCTGTAACCACCAGTATGCGTAAGTGGCTTGCTATGGTGGTAATCAGAATGGGCTGTGTGTCTTTTGAAAATTCACCCCCAATCCCCATGAATGTGCACCTTTCTGTCTCCCCCGTTGGCAGAGCTGTAGTAATGAGGTTGAATTCCAAGGCCAAATTTGTAAACATTCTTTGAGACTTAACATTTATACAGGGCTTTCCCATTTTAGGAATGACAGGTGTACATTTCACTTTACTTCAAAGAAGGTAACTGATACAGAAAGATTAAAGAGACTTGCCCAAGATGTCATTGTAAGTTTGGGACAGAACCAAAGTAGAATCTAGGACATGTAATACCTGAAGGGCTATAACCCTCGCCACCCCCATTTATCTTTAAAGGTTGTTTGTTTATGGCAGTTAAGGCTTATATTATATTGGCTTCCTCTCTCCCCCAGTTTGGTATGAGTGACAACCCAATGCGTGTTTTAGGACCATTGCTCTGGTTAACGGAGAAGCAGCAGCTAACAGGTGGATGAGGAGAGACCGCTTAGGAAGGCCTTGCCGGGGGCAGGGGTCCCGATAGCAGATGACGGTGGCTTATTTGGGGTGGTAAGAGTGTTCACGGTGATAAAGGGACATATTTGAAATGAGCTTCAAAGGTAGAACTGATAGGCTTCCATGATGGGGGTCAAGGATGGACCCCGGGTTGCTGGCATGGTTAACTGGATGGAGAATATCTTTGATGGAACAGATTTGGGGTGGGCGGTATTTCCAAAAGTTTAAAAAGACTAGGGAGGAAAACACCCAACCAAAACTCCGCCCCACTGTCACCTGGGTCCAGTCTCGGGACAAATTTCAAGATCTCCCTTTTCGCAACTGTTTTCAGAAAATAAAAGGACTAACTGTGGCTGTCAAGTGCTATGAATAAAAAGAGCAAAGTAGCAGGGCAAAGCCGAGGCCCAGGCAGGCCCCACGCTGCCCGCTGCGGACCACCTTCAGGGTCCAGTGGCGCCCGGTCCCGAGTCCAGGAGCCTTTTCGTCGCGTCTCACACTCACCTTGCTGCTTAGATCCTCCTTGTGTGGGGTCGAATTGTCGGTGGGGATCAGCACAGAGCTGTCCTCTGGTCGCGTCCCTCGGCTGGGCATTTCCACCGAGCGCAAGACACGCGGGATGGCTCAGCCCTGAAGGAGCCTACGGCATTAGCCACAGCGCATGCGCGCTTCCAGCCGCGCTCACCCTTTCTTTTCCCGCGAGTCTTACCAATAGCGTCTGCGCGCTCACTTGAACGCATGCGCAGGCCGGGTCTGGCCTGGGGAGGAGTTTCGCGCCTGCGCATGGCTGCTTAGGGAGCGAGTAAACAGTCTGGTTGCAAAATCTGAGGTTCCTGTACTGGCCTCTTGTGGTTGAGATGCAGAAACGCTCAGGTGGTTTCTTCATGACCTCTTATCTAGTATACTACGAGTTCTGTGCGCCCTCCAGTGGTAAATATGAAGAATAGTCGTGCAATAGAAACAGCGCTTAATATGATATTTATTATCTAGGGAAAGATGAAGCTAAGGAACAGATTTAAGAGATACCGTGTTGGCAAAAGAACTGTACAGACTTGGTAAAGTTTTGGTTAACTCGTGGTTAGGGTTGCCGGATAAAATACAGTATGAACTTCAGATGAATTAATAGTTTTTTAGTGCATCTATGTCCCGTGCAATATTTGCAATATCTCATTTCTGTGGAAAAAATGACTAAAACTTGGAAATAGGCAAAAGAGATTTATTTACTGGATGCTCTTTCAGTGCTGCTCTGGACTTGACTTTATTATATTGACTGGGCTGTTTTACAATTCTGTAGGGGCAAAGGTTAACTTTGGTAGAGATTTTGGTTTGGTAGAGATGCAAATAATTTTTTGTTGTACCAGATACCAACACAGGTTATGATTTATTGTTCTGCAACACATTAGTCAGTTTTGTATCTAACCCTGCATTCTGTCCTAACATTTCTTTATTAACATATGCCTAGCTTCTCTAATATTCTGTATTGGTTTTAAAGTCATCGGTTCCCTCACTAACCAATGAGTTGAATAAAAGTTTGACATGTATATATTTTATGTTCACATTAGAGACATGATTTTAGGTTTTTGATAATTATACTATATTATTGGAAATCTTAAGTTTCCACAGAGATGCCCAACTGGATTTATGTGATGAATCAAACTATCTGGCGAAAGAAATGTATACATCATGGGTTGTTTAAGGCCAGGCATGTTTTTTATTTGCTCTTACAGAAAACCCAAGTGGTTATATATTTTTCCTTTATAATTGATTTTTAAAGATTGTGTTTTCATTTCTGATTTGTACATTCCTGATAAGTTATTCAGGTATAACTTATACATTACTGATACATTGATAGCAGCAATGATTGGGAGTTTGGTTTTGTGGTCTAACCATTTGGTGGTATCTGTTGGATGATGGACGTCTAGTCTCATTGGTAGAGAGGTAGATAGGTGCAGTGGCTCAAACCTGTAATCGCAACCACTCGGGGCTGAGGTGGGAGGATTACTTGAGGCCAGGGGTTCAAATAAATAAATAAGAGAGGTGACAGAGAAGCGAGTTTGTAAGTCTTTTTGTTTATTGTTTGTGAGCTCAAATTAATTAATTACTTTTGTGTCCACTGAGAGGGAAGGAGGACAGCTATTTGAGATGTGGGCTAGTAAGGTTTTGTTTGTTTGTTTTAACATAAAGGCCGCTCAAGCAGAAGAACTGGTGAATTTTTGTGGTTTTGTGTTTACTTTTGACCTGAGATTGAAGTTGTAAGACAGAAGCAATAACCTCTTTATGTGTCTGTGTGTCTGTAACTTAGAACAGGCTTTATGTCTCCCTTTGTAAATATGAAATATTTCCCTACTTCTGGAGTGTATTAATAAATCCCACTATAGTATCTCTAATTAAAGGGCCTCTGTTCTGACTAGTTTATAGAGAAAAATAAGCACTGGTATAATCCCAATATTTTTAAAAGCCCAGAATTTCCAATACTTTAAATGTGCCAGATTTTTAAGGAAAAAAGTTCTTACAAAACTGCTAGCTTAGAAACATTTTAAGAATCCAAGTTTAGGAAAAAGAGAGCTCCAAAGTGAAGTATCACTTCACTTTGTTGTTGTTGTTATTTTGAGACACAGTCTTTCTCTGTTGCCCTGGCTGGAGTGCAGTGGTGCGATCTCTGCTCACTGCAACCTCTGCCTTCTGGATTCAAGCTATTCTCCTGCCTCAGCTTCCCAAGTACCTGGGATTACAAGTGTGTGCCACCATGCCCGGCTGATTTTTGTATTTTTAGTAGAGATGGGGTTTCAGTATGTTGGCCAGGCTGGTCTCAAAGTCCTGGCTTCCAGCTATCTGCCCGCCTCAGCCTTCCAAAATGCTGGGGTTATAGGTGTGCGCTGCCAGGACTGGCTTCCACTTTGTTTAGAGGTAATAGTGAGGCTTATCTGTAAAGCTGATGAGACTGAGCATCCTAGCCTATTGGTCTTCTTTGTACCCCACCTTCTATTATAGTGTCTGGCAGAGTGGGAGCTCTGGTTAAAGTTTGAATTGGTTCTGACTCACAATCATGTCCACATCGAGTAGCCGGAAACACCCAACACCGCTGATTGGTCTACAGCTGTTCACCCCGTTTTGGGAAGTGGGCTGTTGCTTACGGCTCTGCCAGGTTCTGATGTTTTTGTTTATTCACAAGGGCTGCCCAAGACAACATAGTACTAAACAAAATAGTACTAAACAAAGTGGTGATAATAATTTTAGTATGGTGCTAAACTGTCTTAAAAGTGCTTTCACACTTTGTCTTATTTAAAAAATATTTATCTATTTGCTTCTATTTCCTCCTTCAGCTGCTCTAACTTCTGCATTGCTTGAAGTCAGCTTTGGGGTTAGCTAGTACCATGTGTCATGCCTAACTGGCTCAGGACTGCCCATCTGCAGCCCACCATACAACTGGAAACTATGTCTTCTCTTCCAGTGATTCTCAACAGAGCTAGGGGTTTCCCTAGCTGATGCTTGAAAAAATGTTTGGAGGTACTGTTGGTTGTCACAGTGATTGGATGGTTCTGTTAACTCTGATGGGTAGGACAGACTGGAAGTCATTTGAAAGGAGACAGACTCAACTACAGACTCTTCTAAGAGGCGTAGACTAGCAGACCAAAGGGAAATCTCAGCAAGTAGACAGTGCTGGTAATTGCCGGTGGGGGGAGGGGGTTGGAGAGGGGGAAGTAAGGTAGGCTGTAGGACCAAGGGGGTGAAGTCAAAGGAGAGGTAATATCACAGTCTAAATAGGTGATTTATATCAATAATTCTGCCAGAAGGTGACAGGGCCTGAGATATTGGACTGATGTTTTCCACAAGGCTCTAGGATCTGGGAAAGGAACTACTGGATCCTTACCATAAACTCTTTGCAGGGAGAACGCAGGGAGAATGCTTTGTCGCCCTAGTAACAAAGCACATCAGGCTGGTCTTGGTCTCTCAAGGGAAATGGCAGAGTTTCCAAGTACTGGTCTAGAGATTAGTAAATCCTTTTTACTTGAGATAAGGCTGGTTCTCAAGCTTTGCTTCAAAGCTGTGGAATGCGGACATCAGGCCTCCCTGACGCTTGCAGCCAACTTCACTTTGGAGCTCTTGTGCAGGGCTGAAACAGGATGTGGTGAGTGTGGTAGGGTGCAAATTTGAAGATGCACTGACTCTCAGGTCCTGCAGTAAGTGCTCTTTAAATTTTCTGCCCAGGTGCCTCACATGCCTCATCTAAGCATATTCGTCTTCTTTCCAATCCACTGCTCTCCTGCCAGTTGGATTTGAAAATTTCATTGTTGGTAGTTCTGTTTTACAATCTAGAGGTCAGTGTGGTTTGTGAATGTCACCAATGAAAGATGTTTTATATGCTGCCCATGCCTGTTGTATCTTCACATAGTCTGACAGCTATAAAGAAGGTTAATCGAAATTATCTTGGCTTCTTCTAGAACTATTCCATATGAGTGCCACTGTCCACCTCTTTCCCAAAGATTCAAATATGGATGCAAGGCAAAGAAAATATTTGATTGGTTAAAGTGGACCAGTAGCCTTATTTGGATCATTCCATTGGAAAATCCCTAGTTAGAGGTTAGTTGTTGGTTTCTGATTGGTTAAGCTAAGTTCTGTTTACCTAGAATATAACCTTTTAGCTTTTGGTTTGTTTAGGTAGGCACTCAGCTCTAGAGCTGCTTCAGTGTAATGGCCTTCCGATTTATTATTTTAATACTTCCTTTCTATGTTTTGGAAGAGTTTTTGTAGAATTAATGTTATTTCTTCTATTAATATTATATAGAATTTTCCAGTGAATTTATCTGTGCCTAAAGTTTTCTTTGTTCAATGGTTTATAAAAACTATTATTTTTCTTTTTTCTTTTTTTTATACTTTAAGTTCTGGGGTATATGTGCAGAACGTGCAGTTTTGTTACATAGGTATACATGTGCCATGGTGGTTTGCTGCACCCATCAACCCATCACCTCCATTAGGTATTTATCCTAATGTTATCCTTCCCCCATCGCCAACCCTCAGACAGGCCCTGGCGTGTGATGTTCCCCTCCCTGTGTCCATGTGTTCTCATTGTTCAACTCCTGCTTATGAGTGAGAACATGCAGTGTTTGGTTTTCTGATCTTGTGATAGTTTGCTGAGAATGATGGTTTCCAGCTTCATCCATGTCCCTGCAAAGGACATGAACTCATCCTTTTTTTGTGGCTGCATAGCATTCCATGGTGTATATGTGCCACATTTTCTTTATCCAGTCTATTATTGATGGACATTTGGGTTGGTTCCAAGTCTTTGCTATTGTGAATAGTGCTGCAATAAACATACATGTGCATGTGTCTTTATAGTAGAATGATTTATAATCCATTGGGTATATACCCAGTAATGGGATTGCTGGGTCAAATGGTATTTCTAGTTCTAGATCCTTGAGGAATCACCACACTGTCTTCCACAATGGTTGAACTAATTTACACTCCCACCAACAGTGTAAAAGCATTCCTATTTCTCCAAATCCTCTTCAGCATCTGTTGTTTCCTGACTTTTTAATGCTCTCCATTCTAACTGGCATGAGATGGTATCTCATTGTGGTTTTGATTTGCTTTTCTCTAATGACCAGTGATGATGAGCATTAAAAAAATTATTTCAATTTTATATAGTATATAAATATGGTTTTATATAATTATTACATATAATAATTATATTTATAATTTTATATAAATTTATAATAATTTTTATATAAATTTATAATATTTATATAAATTATGTGTAATTTTATATAATTTATAAATATGGTTGCGAATTCCCCTTGTATCTGTGGCTCCCAGGGCTTCTGTACTCTCACACAAGCTTACCTCTGACTTTTAGCATTCATTAAAAACTTTAGCTGAATTTTTCTTTCTGAGTTGTTTGACATCTGGTGGCATATGTTGGCGATAAGGGATCAAAGGCATAAACTCAGTTTTTTGATGTGTTCAAGAAAAGCTGTGATTTTGCAGATCATCCATTTTTTTGTGTGTGTTTTTGAAAGTGGGAGACTGATTTTTTTTTCTGGCTTTTTATACCTTAAGTAAAAACTTGATGTCTAGTAATCATTTTAAATGTATTATTTTATTTTTGAGACAGAGTCTCACTCTGTTGCCCAGGCTGTAGTGCAGCGGCGCTATCTCTGCTCACCGCAACCTCTGCCTCCCGGGTTTAAGTGATTCTCCTGCCTCAGCCTCCTGAGTAGCTGGGATTACAGGCACAGGCCACCATGCCCAGCTAATTTTTGTATTTTAGTAGAGATGAGGTTTCACCATGCTGGCCAGGCTGGTCTTGAACTCCTGACCTCAAGTAATCTGCCTGCCTTGGCCTCCCAAAGTGCTGAGATTACAGGCGTCAGCCACTGTGCCTGGCCATGTATTTATTTATTACTGTTTATTTAATTATAATTATTTATAATTACAATGTATCACTTATATTATCTTGTATTTTTACTTATAAGCAAATGCTTTTTAAATATATATTCATATAATACCCTTTTGTTTAGACAAATGACATACTATACATATTTTCTGCCACTTTGACTTTCTTATCAGATATTATATACTGGAGATCATTCCACAGTAGTGTATAGTAATATTCTTCATCCCTTTGACAGCTGCATGGTATTATATCATGTATTCTATCATTGTTTATTCAAACACCTTTCTATTTCTGGACATTTGAGTTGTCTCCATTCTTTTAGTGTTACAAGTAGTGCTAAATACATGGTTACATATTTTTATTTGTCCCATGTGGTAATTCTGCTCTTTAGTTCCTTTTCATATTTTCAATACAATATTTGTTTTTAACTTTTTTATGGCTGTACTTTCTGGTGCTTAGCATCTAGAGTCCCATTATTCCTTCTTGATGAGTTTGATGCCTAAGCTAGAGACTCCTAAACTTTTCAGTTCACAGCATTCTTATTGTCCCCATAATTTTTCATGGTCTCTGAAGCCAAAAACAAAAACAAAAAACAAACAAAAAACCCAAATAAGTCATTTTAGTAAGTAGTTAAATCTAAACAACTTAGTATTTGTGTTCTAACAACTTAGTAGCCATTAAAAAAATACATAAATTGAAATAGAATATAATGTTTTTATTTTATTCTTAAATTAACACGATTGCTAATGGGATATGTATGCCTGTTAGGCACTATATAACTTCTCAAACCTTGGAATCAGATTGGACATCATAACTTTCATTTTCTGTTCCTCACTGATTTTCACAAGGTATTTGTACTTTATCCTAGCAACCACCAAAAGTATAACGTTGCAAAGATATGATATCATCAAAAGAAATACAACTTGACCGAATGTTGAAGTGGTTGTTTTTATTTCTGTGGGGTCAGTGGTAACATTCCCTTCATCATTTACAATTGTGTTTTATTTGGATCATCTCTTTTTTCTTCTCTATTAGTCTAGCTAGTGGCCTATCTATTTTATTATTTTTTCAATAAACCAGCTCCTGGATTTTGTTGATCTTTTAAGTGGTTTTTCATGTTTTGATTTCCTTTAGTTCAGCTCTGATTTTTGTTATTTCTCATCTTCTGCTAGCTTTGCAGTTGATTTGTTCTTGCTTCGTTTTGTTTTTTTTGTTTGTTTGTTTGTTTTTTTTTTGGTATTTATTGATCATTCTTGGGTGTTTCTTGGAGAGGGGGATTTGGCAGGGTCATAGGACAATAGTGGAGGGAAGGTCAGCAGATAATCATGTGAACAAGGGTCTCTGGTTTTCCTAGGCAGAGGACCCGGCGGCCTTCCGCAGTGTTTGTGTCCCTGGGTACTTGAGATTAGGGAGTGGTGGTGATGACTCTTAACGAGTATGCTGCCTTCAAGCATCTGTTTAACAAAGCACATCTTGCACCGCCCTTAATCCATTTAGCCCTGAGTGGACACAGCACATGTTTCAGAGAGCAAGGGGTTGGGGGTAAGGCCATAGATTAACAGCATCCCAAGGCAGAAGAATTTTTCTTAGTACAGAACAAAATGGAGTCTCCCATGTCTACTTCTTTCTACACAGACACAGCAACAATCTGATTTCTCTTTCCTTTCCCCACACTTCCCCCTCTTCCACTTGACAAAACCGCCATCGTCATCATGGCCCGTTCTCAATGAGCTGCTGGGTACACCTCCCAGACGGGGTGGCGGCCGGGCAGAGGGGCCCCCCCACCTCCCAGACAGGGCGGCCGGGCAGAGGCGCCCCCCACCTCCCGGACGGGGCGGCTGCCGGGCGGGGGCTGCCCCCCACCTCCCTCCCGGACGGGGCGGCTGACCGGGCGGGGGCTGCCCCCCACCTCCCTCCCGGACGGGGTGGCTGGCTGGGCGGGGGCTGCCCCCCACCTCTCTCCCGGACAGGGCGGCTGGCCGGGCGGGGGCTGTCCCCCACCTCTTGGACGGGGCGGCTGCCTGGCGGAGATGCTCCTCTCTTCCCAGACGGGGCAGCTGCCGGGTGGAGGGGCTCCTCACATCCCAGATGGGGCAGCGGGGCAGAGGCGCTCCCCACATCTCAGACGATGGGCAGCGGGGCAGAGGCGCTGGGGAGCGCCTCTCAGACGATGGGCCTCTCATCTCAGAGGATGGGCGGCCGGGCAGAGACGCTCCTCACTTCCTAGACAGGATGGCGGCTGGGAAGAGGCGCTCCTCACTTCCCAGACTGGGCGGCCGGGCAGAGGGGCTCCTCACATCCCAGACGATGGGCGGCCAAGGAGAGACGCTCCTCGCTTCCCAGACGGGGTGGCGGCTGGGCAGAGGCTGCAGTCTGGGCACTTTGGGAGGCCAAGGCAGGCGGCTGGGAGGTGGAGGTTGTAGCGAGGCGAGATCACGCCACTGCACTCCAGCCTGGGCAACATTGAGCTCTGAGTGAGTGAGACTCCGTCTGCAATCCTGGCACCTCGGGAGGCCGAGGCTAGCAGATCACTCGCGGTTAGGAGCTGGAGACCAGCCCGGCCAACAGGGTGAAACCCCGTCTCCACCAAAAAAATACCAAAACCAGTCAGGCCTGGTGGCGTGCGCCTGCAATCACAGGCACTCGGCAGGTTGAAGCAGGAGAATCAGGCAGGAGGTTGCAGTGAGCCGAGATGGCGGCACTACAGTCCAGCCTCCGCTGGGCATCAGAGGGAGACTGTGGAGAGAGAGGGAGAGGGAGAGGGAGACCGTGGGGAGAGGGAGAGGGGGACGGGGAGGGAGCTGTTCTTGCTGCTTTGATTCTTTCAGTTGTGATGTTAGGTTATTAGAGATCTTTCTAACTTTTTGATTTGGGCATTTAGTGTTATGAATTTCCCTGTTAACATTGCCTTATCTGTGTCCCAGAGAATCTGGTATGTTGTATCTTTGTTCTTGTCATTTCCAAAGAACTTCTTGATTTCTGCCTTAATTTCATTATTTACCCAAAAGTCATTCAGGAGCATGTTGTTTAATTTCCATGTAATTGCATGGTTTTGAGTGATTTTCATAATCTTGACTCCTATTTTTATTGTGCTATGGTCTAAGAGTGTGTTTGGTATAATTTCAGTTCTTTTACATTTGATGACATTTGTTTTTTGTCCAATTATGTGGTCAATTTTAGAGTATGTGCCACGTGAGGATGAGAAAAATGTATATTCTGTTGGTTTTGGGTGGAGAGTTCTGTAAAGGTCCATTAGATCCATTTGGTCCAATGCTGAGTTTAAGTCCTGAATATCTTTGTTAATTTTCTGCCTTGATGATCTGTCTAATATTGTCAGTAGGGTGTTAAAATTTCCCATTATTATTGTGTGGGAGTCTGTGTCTCTTGCTAGGTCTCCAAGAACTTGCTTCATGAATCTGGGTGCTCCTGTGTTGGGTGCATATATTTAGGATAGTTAGGTCTTTTTGTTTAATTGAAACGTTTATCATTCTGTAATGCCCTTCCTTGTCTTTTTTGAACTTTGTTGGTTTGAAATATGTCTTGTCTGAAGTTAGGATTGCAACTGCTGCTTTTTTCTGTTTTCCATTTGCTTGGTAGATTTTCCTCCATTCCTTTATTTTGAGGCTATGAGTGTCATTACATCTCAGATGGGGCTCTTGAAGATAGCATACCATTGGGTCTTGGTTTTTTATCCAGCTTGCCACTCTGTGCCTTCTAACTGTGGCATTTAGCCCACTTACATTCAAGGTGAGTATTGGTATGTGTGGATCCTGTCATTGTGCTGTTAGCTGGTTATTATGTGGGCTTATTTGTGTGGTTCCAGCATATACAATTTAACAATTAGCCGGTTTCAGAAGGCTCCAGCTGCCGCTGACCCTAAGGCTACATTTTTACTAGAATAATAATAGAATAGATAGAGTTAAAGGGTCAAAGGGCATGGGAAGTTTTTGGCTCGTATTTATCTTGTAAGATTGTTGCTACTTGTTAAATTTCGCTTTGTGATCAATATTGCTCTTGGTTTGATTTCTATTTATTTATTTGAAAAATAAGAATGGTATATATTTGTAGAGTACAATGTGATGTTTTGATATATGTATATATTGTGGAATGGCTAAATCACATTGATTAACATATCCATTATCTCACATTTATTTTTATGTGGTGAGGACACTTAAAATCTACTCTCTTTGCATACATGAAGTATACAGTACATTGTTATTAACTATAGTTTCATATTGTGCAATAGATCTCTTGAACTTATTTCTCCTGTCTAACTGAAATTTTGTATCCTCTGACCAACATCTCCCCAAATCCTCCCCATGTCCCTTATCCTCTGATAACTACCATGCTACTCTCAGCTTCTATGAGTTTGACTTTTTTAGATTCTATGTGTAAGTCAGATCATGAGATGTTTGTGTTTTCATGCTTGGCTTATTTCACTTAACATAATTTCTTCCAGGTACTCTTGCCTTGATTTTGATTTAAGTATTTGAATGCCCATTGGAGCTTGAAATTGGCTATGGTTATGTGTCTGGAGTTGGTTACTTCTGGTGGGTTCTTGGTCTTGCTGACTTCAAGAATGAAGCCATAGACCTTTGCAGTGAGTGTTACAGCTCTTAGAGTTGGCACGGACCCAACGAATGAGCAACAGCAAGATTTATTGTGAAGAGCAAAAGAACAAAGCTTCCACAGCATGGAAGGGGACCCAAGCCAGTTGCCACTGCTGGCTGGAGTGGCCAGCTTTTATTCCCTTATTTGTCCCAGCCCATGTCCTGCTAATTGGTCCATTTTACAGAGCACTGATTGGTCCATTTTACAGAACACTGATTGGTCCATTTTACAGAGGGCTGATTGGTGTGTTTATAATCCTTTAGCTAGACACAGAGCGCTGATTGGTGTGTTTTTACAGAGTGCTGATTGGTGCATTTACAATCCTCCAGCTAGATACAGAGTGCTGATTGGTGCATTTTACAATCCTCTAGCTATACAGAAAAGTTCTCCAAGTCCCCACTCGACCCAGGAAGTCCAGCTGGCTTCACCTCTCAGTTGTAGTATGTACACTACATAAGCTGGCAAATGGGACAAATTGGGGCTTCTCCTGTTCCTCCTCTCCTCGACCTCAAAGATGGCAGTTGTTAAACATTGCTGGCATACCAATATTTGGAATATAATTTAAAAGTGAAACAAAAAGCTATGTGCAAGGAAATGTTCATAGCAGAATTAATTTTAAATGCAAAAATCTGAAAATACTTTAAATTTTCAATTATAGGTCAGTACTTATTAACAATTTATGGTTTTATTTCTGTGAAACACTGTACATTCATTATAATAAACATAAGATAGCTAGACATGTGGAATGGTATAGAGATATAAAATAATGTTGATTAAAACTATTATAATTATGTGAAAATTATTTATTTTAAGGGATAAAAAATGAGAAATGTCACAGAAAAGTTTAAAAAGTTGTTTAGGTGAAAGCATTTTATTTAGAAATTATTTTAGTTTTAATGATCGCTCATTTCGTTTTATATATTGAACCTAATGTACCTTCTTTAACTATAAGTAAACTCTTTTGTATTTATATCATGTTATAATGCTGTTTTAGAGAGATGAATTGTGGGATTAGAAAACTTCAGTGTTTTTGGTAGAAGCAGCATATAATGACCCTGGAAATGAAAATAATAATAATAATAAAAATGGCTACTTGTAAAACACTTTTCAGTTTACAAGCATTTTAATATGTGTCATTCCATTTAATCTTCAGCAATCCTGTGAGATGGGTATTCTTTTGCTTGTTTTATAGATGAGGATTCTATAGCTCAAAGAAATTAATGACTTATTTAATTCCACACTGCAAGGGAGTATGAGGCTAAGCCTTTTATTTTCTCCAGGAAAAATTATTTATTTTTTATTTGCAAATATAGGGCATACAATTATGCATTCTACTGATGTATTCTTATTGGTGACTAAACTCATAGTGTGAGCATATTTTAGGGAACAGATAAATGTCTACATTGATAGAGGAACATGTTAGATATAGCCCTAAATTAGCAGATGGAAAAGCAGTAATTTCAGAGTAGTAGTATGTCTGACAATTTGGCACAGGAAATGAATAAAGTTTTGGTACCACACATACCTAGGTTTGCATCTAGTGTCTGGATGACTTACTTGCTGTGTCAACTTGGGTAAGTTGCTTAACCTCTTTAAACCTAGGTTTTCTCCTTTGGAAAATGGGAATAATAACTCTTAATTCATCATGTTTTATTTGATTTCTTAGTCAAATTAGACATTTTTGACCATCCCTATCCAATCTCTAAATGTTGAAAGTAATTGAGAATTAGTTGTAAGCATTCCTCTCTTCTTAACTCACACTCTGGTCTTAGGCAACTTCATCTACTTCTGTGGCTTTTAATCTGTTTAAATCCCAGCAGCTCAACTTGATCTTGCACATGCCTTTCTTCTGAGATTCAGGCCTGTTATATCTAAATCTTCGTTTGACCTTTCAATATAAATGCCTTACAAACATCTTACAGTACACATATCCCAAATTGAACTCTATGTAATCCCCTTGAAAATCTACTTCTTTTTTAATTTTCCCCAGTTCAGTAAATGGTGCCTCCATCCAAAAAGTTGTACATGTCATAACCTTTGAGTCATCTTTAGTTCCTCCCTCTTTCTCATCCCTCTTTTTCAAACTGTCAGAGTCCTATTATTTTACTTGTAAAATAAAACCCAAACCTGCTGTCTTCTCTCCATTACCTAGGCACCATCCAAGGCCAATTCACCATCTCTTGCATAAACTATTGCAATAGCTTCCTCATATTGAGAGAGGCCTTTCCTGACCTTCTGAATTTAATTAGAAAATGTTCCTTCTCATTTGTAGCAGTTTGTAACTATGTATTTATTTATATTTACTTAACTTACCTCAATGAGGGCAGAGATTATGACTGTTTTGTCTGGCACATAGGTCACTATTAAGTATTTGCCAAATGTATGGGTGAATAGTTTTATTTTCTAACCAGTCAGAATGTTATACTCGTAGCCCTGGGAATTTGGAAAAAAGACAGGTTGGTGGGAGAAATAAAGCATATATGAAAAAAAATTCCAGCCAGGCATGGTGGCTCACGCCTGTAATCACAGCACTTTGGGAGGCCGAGGCGGGTGGATCACGAGGTCAGGAGATGGAGACCATCCTGGCCAACACGGTGAAACCCCATCTCTACTAAAAAAAAAATACAAAAAATTAGCCGGGTGTGGTGGCAGGCGCCTGTAGTCCCAGCTACTTGGGAGGCTGAGGCAGGAGAATGGCGTGAACCCGGGAGGTGGAGCTTGCAGTGAGCCGAGATTGCGCAACCGCACTCCAGCCTGGGCGACACAGCGAGACTCTGTCTCAAAAAAAGAAAAATTCCAGAGAGAACCTAGAGCCTCTGAAACAAGTTATTAGGGTATGTTTTAAAATAATCAATCAAAACATTTTCAGGTACAGTTGAATAGATTCGGTATACCAATATGACATCTAGGAAAATAAAACCTAGATTTTAAAAGCAACTTACAGCTTTGGTGTTGCCATAATTAATGTATTTGAATAAAACAATAAGTAGA
Organism: Homo sapiens; assembly: GCF_000001405.40. Classification (NCBI taxonomy): domain Eukaryota; kingdom Metazoa; phylum Chordata; class Mammalia; order Primates; family Hominidae; genus Homo; species Homo sapiens. Next base: position 189,648,118 of record NC_000002.12, on the reverse strand, counting down.
AGGGATGGAAAAAGACAGAAGGAATAGATTTGTCCACACAGGTGCAAACATATTTGCCATTTTTATTGTACACCTGGTAAACAGTTGAATTCCAGTGTTTCCATACTTTTTTTTCTGACCTCATCCTTCCATTACATGGTATTTTTATACTTAATAGCAAAGGATCATGTGTATCACTAAGATTTTACTGTCTTCTCTTAGTACAGAAAGAGTAAGATAATATCATTTTGTCAGATATTTCCACTGTTCTTTGGAATTACATTTTTTCTAATATAAAACTAAATTGTTTTATATTAGAAAAACAACAGATTGAAAAATAATAGGGATGCTATTGTTGGAATAGAAAAATATTTATTTATAACCTTTTTTTAGAGTATAATCTTTATTTTCAAGATCAAGTTATCATCTATTGTTATAACCAAATTAAATAATTGGAAGTGTAATATTGTTTAGTGTTAATTTTTCTACTTGGTAAACAAAATATGATAAAACTCCTGAGCAACTATTACAGTTAACTCTTATTTATCTGTTCCAATGAAACCACTCAAAGGCAACCGAAGATAATTAATGATACTACACAATTGAAGGTACGTGCTTTTATACTTGGCATTTGAACATGAATATATGAATAAAAACAGCAGCTAAATTTATTGGAAACTTATTACTACATACCAGGCACTGATTTAATAACTTTACATATTTTAACTCACTTAATCCTTGTAATAACGTCATAAGGAGCAAGCGCAATTAATATCGTCTGCATTTTATAGATAAGGATGCATAGGGAATGGTTAACTTGCCCAACACTACACAGTCAGTAAATAGTAAAGGTGGGACATGAATGAAGGCAAGCTGGCTCCAGGACCTATGCTCCTGATATGGTATTACAGGTTTTTTTGCCCATTGTCTTCAGAACTCAACTAAAAACTGGTAATAAAGCAATGTGAGAAAGGCCTAGTTGGGAGGGACTAGGAAGCAGTTAAATTATTTCTCAATGCCTTCTCTCTTCATTCCTTTTTACATTTTATTCTATTGTAAGAAGAAGGAAAAAATGGTTTTCACATGGTTTCTGGGAAGGTTGCTAAACTTTCTGGGAATGTTGCTAAGTGTAATAATGGGATAATTTGTACAAGAACACTTTATTACATTGAATATATTTATAGTGAAAACAAATTTTATCATAAATACAGAAAAAGCTTTGAATATTAACAGTTATTAAAATAAATTCATACCATCTGATATTTAAGAAAATGGAGTTATATGTCAACTATGCCATAATTTTTGGAATGAACAAAGAATGAATTGTGTTGGCTTTTGTAAGCACCAGAAAAAACCCCAACAACATAAGAGAGCCTGACTTGACATCTTTCACTTCACATTTGATTTGCCTGAAATGACCAAAAAGTGCTGATTTTCCAAAAATATTTGCAAACTTCATACTTCATCAGTTTTCCCAAAGTTAACTCTAAGTATTTTGGTATTCAAAATATTCTCTCTTGAAGAACCTATTGTATTATATATAAGCCTTCTTGAATTTGTCTTTAGTCAAAGGCTTTTTCAGTAATTCCTGAAACATCACTTCACAGCTTTGTGAGATTTGTAATATCACTTTGAAATAGATTTTCATTTTATTTACACTAAATGTTTCCAATATCCCACAGTTTAGCCAGAAATTAACCGTCCATGATTGGGCATAGATGCCAGTGTTCATGGGAACAAGAAGGGATGGAAATGTTCGAGTGGAGACAAATTTTATAGTGGGTTGATTATTGAATGATTGTGAGAGATGAAGATTTTTTCTTCCCTACCCACCACAATTTCTGTGGGACCTAAGATAATAAATCACAAATTTAAAAATATGCTGATTGTTTTGTTTTTCTGTCAAACTACAGAGGCAAGATAAGATTATATTTTGGCAAGAAGTCAAATGACAAAGAAAAGTACAAAGGAAAAAATGGTTTTTTTTCCTCTTTTCCCCCTCCCACCTGAGTGTTTAAAACATTTGCTTATTTTCAAAACAGGTACATATGAAAACATGTGATTTAAAAATTCAAATGAAGAGACTGAAAAAGAGAGCAACAAAACAAAAACAAGTAGGAACAGAGATTTAATGATGATAAATTTTGAAATTGCAAAACAGATTTTTAAAGTTTTTTTTGTTTGTTTGTTTGTTTTTGAGACAGAGTCTCACTCTGTCACCCAGGAGTGCAGTGACACCATCACAGCTCACTGCAGCCTCCACCTCCCTGGGCTCAGGTGATTCTCCCACATCAGCCTCCAGAGTAGCTGGGACTACCTGCATGTGCCACTGTGCCTGGCTAATTTTTTGTTATTTTTTGTAGAGATGGGATTTCACCATGTTACCTAGGCTGGTCTCAAACTCCTGGGCTCAAGCAATCTGCCTACCTTGGCCTCCCAAAATGCTGGGATTACAGGCATGAGCTACCATGCCTGACCAAGCCTAGGTTCTTAGAAAAGATTAGTAAGCCTGATTAACTAAAAAGGAAAAAAAAAGTAAAATATATAAATTCAGGAATGAGAAAGGGAATATAAACACAGGCATGGAAGAATTAAAAAGAAAACCTTTTAAAGAGAAGATTATTTGTAATTCAGTGGCAATAAATTTGAAACTCCAGATAAAACTGTTTATGGCTAAATATGAATTAACACAAGTAACTCAAGAAAAGGAAGTAAACAGTGAAAGACTAATGAATATAGAAGAAATTGAAAAGATTGTTGGAGAAATACTATTTTAAAAGGCGTAAACCTGAGTGATTTTTCGACTGCTGACATTTTTCTAACCTACAAAGAACTGACAATTTCACATATTTGAACTGGTCTAATTCATAGATAATTATGAAAAATTATGGAAAACCTCCAATTTTTGAAGCCAGCATGGTTTACATACCAAAACTTGATAGAAATAGCCCCCAAAACTCATGAGTATAGATGCAAATAATTAACTAAAATATCGATATACTGAATCCATCACCATACTAGAAGACCCAAAACAAAGTAGAATTAATTCTATAGTTAGCAATGATGCATTTCCTTGTTGATGATCTAAACAATAAGTGATTAAGGCCAAGATGATGATAGAAGAAGAACTAAGCCACAGTGTCCAAAGGTTTAAGGCAAGTAATTTAAGTAACTCCTTTACTATTCTTGCAATGAAGAATTACTCTGAATAAAGTCTAATTCCTTTAAATTTGCCAAGAATATTTAAAAGAGTTGCCTATAGTTAAAAACTAAAATTTGCTATTTGGTAACAGAACATTTCTAAACCTCATAACCAGAAGTGATATAAATAGATGTCAAAATCTGGTCTTTTAAGGAAAGAGTAAATAGTATATTTCAGATAGTACACTTAAGTTTTAAGCTTTAACTAAAATATAACCAGAAGAAATAAGACCATTTTGGGAAAAAAAAAATTGATAATGGCTTTAATGTATTTTTTAAGTTAAAATTAATTTTTAATTAACATATAATCACATTTTTATGATTTTTTTTTTTTTGGCTGGAGTGCACTGGCATGATCTCGGCTCACTGCAACTTCTGTCCCCTTGGTTCAAGTGATTCTTGTGCCTCAGCCTCCCAAGTAGCTAGGATTACAGGCACACACCATCACACCTGGCTAATTTTTGTATTTTTAGTAGAGACGAGGTTTCATCATGTTGGCCAGGCTGGTCTTGAACGCTTGACCTCAAGTGATCCGCTCACCTTGGCCTCCCAAAGTGCTGGGATTACAGACATGAGCTGCCACACCCGGCCACATGTTATGAAAATTTTAACAGCTTTTTTACATTGATGAAATATTCAGTTTAGAGCTTTAAAATTAAGAAATTTGCCCATCTGGACATGGTCATAATTGAATTATGAATATGAGAAAAGTGTGGCAAAAGTAGTTTTATTTTTTCATTTAGAACTCAAGGAAAGTTCCCCACACATTAAAGTGATAAAACTTAAGCCCTTCAATTACTGCTGCCTAGCAAAATGCCTGGCACCTATTAGGCTTTCCAATATTTGTCTAATTCAACTGAAATCAGTTTTGTAGCCACTGAAGACCATTCCACAATTTTGTTCACTGAACGCTTCGAGATAAAAGGTCAGTGAGAAAATAGAAGTCCTGAGCCCTAGAACCATCTCTGTACTGATCTATGTGACGTTGGACAAAACATTACATTCTTTGGATTATTGATCTATGACCAATGTATTCTCAATATCTTTTAGGTCATGTGAGCCCCCCGCTCCCCCACCCATTTTTTTTTTTTTGGTAAGGCGAATGAATTTCTTTACTTATCAATGTTGGATGAGTTTAGGAACTTAAGATAAAGGCCTGAAATGTTAGCTAACCAACAAAAATTTGTATGAGATAGGCACTATTATTCTGGAACAGAATAGAAATGAGTCAAAATGTGAACATCATATATAATTTTCTAGTAGCCATATTAAAAAGGTAAACAGAGACAGGTAAAATGAATTTCAGGAATATATTTTACTTAATGTATCAAAACATTACCATTTCACCATAAAATCAATATAAAAATTATTAAGATATTTTACTTTTTTATGCTATTTTCAAAATCTGTTGTGTATTTTACACTTACAGCACATTTCAATTCAAATTTGCTAGATTTCAGGGGTTCAGTTGCCACATGTGTCAGTGGCTAACTGTATCGGTCAGTACAGGTCTAGGCCTGCTAACTTAATAAAATAATACAAAAGAGTGTCTGTCATTATTATGTGAAATCTAGCATGATGGCCAAATAAGCCTTAAGATGATTCTCAAGCATAACAGTGGGATAGAAGTTTTCCTTTTTTGATTTGTAAAATGGGTGAATTGGGTAAGATGATCCACAAGGACTCTTCAGTTTTTAATACTGATGCTGTAGTTCTGTCAAAGTGCTTTACATAGAAGAGGTTGCTTAACATTGCTGTATTAGGTGTGTCGATTTTATATATGTGCTCTGTGTCATTCCATAAAAAGCTTAGAAGCAGAAACTGTGGAAAAAAGAGAAAAATAGAAAAAAAAGGAGAAGGAGGGAGGATGAAAGGAATGAAGAGAGGAAGGGAAGAATTAGGGGAAGAAGTGGGAGAAAAAGAGAAAGGAATGGAGGAAGGAAAAGGGATAATTGAGTCAAATCTCAAAAATGTCAATCTTCATTAGGTTAATTGGTAATTATTTATGATATCAAGTGAACTTTCAAACAGAAACCTTAGCTGTTGCATGCAGTGCTCTTTTAAGCTACAAAATGCATTTTAAAAATAGACTTTGTCCCGAGAACCGCCTTCGACTGTGAACAGACTTGCATATGGCACAAGTCTAGCAGACCTTGGGCTTCATAATCACAGCCTTGTAAACTGTAAAGTTCACATCACTACGAGAGTGACCACACACAAAATCTGCAATCTACTCCCTTTATTTTCTTGTTCAATGATTTAGAAAAGCATGATATCAATGTAAATATATTTCAACTTGTAAATTTTATTGTTAAGAGTTAACTGGGCCGGGCGCAGTGGCTCACACCTGTAATCCCAGCACTTTGGGAGGCCGAGGCAAGCGGATCATCTGAGGCCAGGAGTTTGAGATCAGCCTGGCCAACACGGTGAGACCCTGTCTCTACGAAAAATGCAAAAGTTAGCTAGGCCTAGTGGCGCGTGCCTGTAATCTCAGCTACTCGGCAGGCTAAGGCAGGAGAATCGCTTGAACCCAGGAGACAGAGGTGGCAGTGAGTCAAGATCGCGCCGCTGCACTCCAGCCCGGGTGACAGAGTGAGACTCCGTCTCAAAAAAAAATAAATAAATAAAAAGGAAAAGAGTTCACTGAAAGCTCTTAGTGGCTCAAGAGGTACTCTCTGTTGAAGCCTACTTGATTAAAACAAAATGGTGGCTAGTTTACTTTTAGATGCATTTCTAGTTTTGAGTTGAATTGGGAAATATACCTCCAGAGGGTAGAACAGAGAAGGGGTATACCTATAGTGATCAATAATAGGGCTTTTCAGTGTAGTTTTCATAGCAGTTGAACTAAAATTCTGGCCTTGTTCATATGTGGCTGCACTTGTTGGACTGTGAACCACTTGACAGTGAATAGGTCTACAGGTATACAAGTTTAGCTCCAGCACCTTCCATAGTAGGTGCTTTCATCCACCTCTAATGACTTCCATTTTTATCTATATGCTGACAACTCTCAATTTGTAACTTGAGTTCAGGTCTTTCTTTTGAGTTCTAGTCCCATTTTACTCAAGACCTGCGCCTGGTTGACTCACAGATGTTTCACACTCAATGTGTCCCAGACTGAACTCATTATGTTTCCTCTTCCAGGGTTTCTTATCTCAGCAAATGACATGGCCACCCACCCAGTTGCTCAAATCTGAAACCTTGACTCATGGATTCCTCTACCTCTCACAGCCCACCAATCATTAAGCTCTTCTGAGTTCCTTCAGATGGATTTCTTAAATCCATTCACCTTACTCCATCTCTGCTGCTATCACTTTAGTCCATCGTATTTCCCCTGACTACTGCAACAGCCTGTTTTCCCTGTACCCACTCAGGCATCTCTGCCTTCCAAGCACTTTGGGGACTTTTAAATATGTAAATAAGATTACTTCAGCCCCTTGCTTAAAGTATTCAGTGGCTCCCCAGTGCTTTTAAATTCTAAACTCTCTTACCTGGGCCTACATGGTAGTTGCTTGTGCCACTGTCCCCTTCATTGACTATTTCCAGCCTTTTTGATCTTATTTCTCTTCCTAGTACTCTCTAAGCTCTTTCTACTTCAGGTTCTTCCAACATGCTGTTTACCTTGCCTTAACATACACGCTTAATTCCAATTAACTTCTCAGGTTTCACCCTACTTGTCACTTGTCACTTCTTCCTGCAAGCCTTTCCTGAGCACAGGAGGAGGTTAAGACTTTCTTTATTTTCTTTATGTGTTCTTGTAGCTCCTTGGATTCCTTTGTGATCCTTATCAGGTTTGTTTTATTGACAGTATGCTTATTTTTCCAATGTGGAATTGGACTGTTTCTCATGTATTGTTATATCTCTAGTAACTATCACTGGGGCTGATAAATTAGCAGGCATTCAACAATAAATATTAGTCAAAGTACTGAGGGAATGGATAAATATACTCCTACCTTTGATTGGATTAACAGCTAGGTTGTTGCTATTCACATGTCTCTTGGCTTATATATTTTAAAAGATTTCATTATACTCCTGAATATTTTTGTATAGTAATAATAACTCATACAAATTGTTTAGAATTATTCAGCCTCAGGCTGGGTGCTGGGGTTCATGCCTATAATCCCAGCACTTTGGGAGGCAGAGGCAGGAGGATCGCTTGAGCCCAGGAGTTCTAAACCAGCCTGGGCAACATAGGGAGATCCCATCTCTTAAAAAAAATTTAAAAATTAAAAATAGCTGGGCATGGTGGTGCACACCTGTGGTCTCAGCTTCTTGGGAGTCCGAGGTGGGGGGATCACTTGAGTTTAGGAGGTTGAGGCTGCAGTGAGCTGTGATCAAGCCATTGTACTCCAGCCTGGGCAACAGAGCAAGACCTTATCTCAAAAAAACACACAGAGAGAATTATTCAGCCTCTCTTCTACATAAATGTCAAACACTTAACAAAGATGATATTGAAAAAATGGAATAAAAAGTATATATATATTTACATATGGTGTGAAATAAATGTCTAGAATTGATACAAGTATTTACAAATAATAGAGTTATTAAATCAAAGGATTATTTCAGAGCCGTGAGTCATCTTAAAAATCACCAGTTCACTTTATTTTAACCTCAATTTTACAACAGAATTGTATCAATAAAATTAGAATTCCCAGGGGTGAGTCTAAGGGCAAATGCAGTGAGTATCCATAAAAGAAAACTACTGATATTGTCCAACCCTCCCTTTTTGTATAAGTTAGGAAATTGAAGTTCAGAATTCCTAGATGACTTGTTTAAGGAGCCACAGCTAGTTTTTATATTAGTGGTTCATTAATAGAGCATACTTCCTGATATGGTTTGGTTGTGTCCTCTCCCAAATCTCATGTTGAATTGTAGGTCTCATAATTCCCACGTATTGTGTGAGGAACCCAGTGGGAGATAATTGAATCATGATTTTCCCCATACTGTTCTCATGGTAGTGAATAAGTCTCGTGAGATCTTAAGGTTTTATAAGGGGTTTCCCCTGTTGCTTGATTCTCATTCTCTTTTTGCCTGTTGCCATGTAAGACATGCCTTTGTTCTTCCCTCACCTTCCACTGTGATTGTGAGGCCTCCCCAGCCACGTGGAACTGTGAGTCCATTAAACCTCTTTTTCCTTACAAATTACCCAGTCTCAGGTATGTCTTTATCAGCAGTGTAAAAATGGACTAATACACTTCCTTATATTAATAGCTAGAAGAATGGAAGTTGATGAGGAGGAATGCTGCCAGGCTCCTGATATCAATAATTTCCTTCTCCAGGATGCCTATTTTCTGATTGTCAATTGAAACCGAATATCTCATCAGCTGAGTTGGTAAAATATTACCCAGTAGCTGAGATCAGTGCTTCCTTAACTCATCTGAGCATAAGAACCACCTGGGATGCTTGTTAATCTCTCCAGTTCCTAGGCCTTTATCCTGGATATTCTGATGCAGCAGGTCTGGAGCAGGGCCTGGGAATTGGATGTTTAATAAGCACACACAAGTGATCTTATCCTCAGTTGTTTTTGGGAATCATAGGCTCAGATGATGTCGTAATTTCCATTCCTGGAGACACCAGTAAAGAGGCCATAAAGCACAATCTCAGAGTGATGATTTAGGTTTACTCCCCAGGAAGAAGGTCAGTGTCAAAGACCATGATACAGAAGTAAGTCAAGGTGTGCTGATAAGAAAAGGAGACCAGGAGTCTCGAAAGCTCAGGGCTGACGAAGGGCCAAAGCTGGAAATGAGTTGGCAGGTGTGCTGGTAGTAGTGTTTCCAAGTAGCAGTGAACATAAGGTGACCTCATATTGGGTGGAGCCCCAGACATAAAGATAAGATTAGGGGTTTAGATTTCTCTGAAGTATTCCCTTTATTCCTACAGCAGCAGGAGAATTTTATGGATTCCATTTGTGAGGGCTCACTGGGGACCTTCTCTGAGCATAGTCCGTAAGTCTGAGATACAGTACCAACATGCAACAGAATTATAATCCATCTGGGCAAACGTGAAACTCCAGCAGATACCGGAGAGTTAAAATTGAGATTCTAGGTGGTATGGGTTAGACAGTCAGGGCTGTGAATATCTTTAAAGGCCTTGATGAGGCTGCAATAGTCAAAATGCTCTCTGGAGGGCCTTCAACTGAGCTGGGCCTACAAGAGTGGCCAGGATTTTGACACAGAGATGCAGAAAAGGGATGGCATTGACAAGCAAGGAAGCCATAGGATGAGGGGCTTAAAAAGGCAGTATTCTCCTCAGCAAATGTGTAGGATAGTGAGGAATTTGGTGCAAGGAGGAGAGACAACATGACTAAGGGATAGACACAAACAGCATTTGAAGGGCCTGGAATGTCAATTTAGTGAAATTTAAACATGATGCTTCAGAAAAATGAGGATTTATTAGTGGTTTTCTGAAAGGGCAGTAGCCTGGTGAATTTAATTATTGTGAAAGATTGGTCTGGCAGCAGGATGCTGAATAAACTGGAGTGCCATACAGCCTCGTGAGGGTCAGGGATACAGTGAAGTTTGTAGGAACAGAAAAGAGAAGCTGAGTGGAAGAGCCATCCATGTTACTTGATGAGGGACTTGGCAGGGAAACTGAGGAAGAGGGAGGAATTAAAGGTGGAACCTTATACATTTAAAGTTCATATTCCTGAAACATATTTTTGGAATAATGCCATTTTTCCTTATTTACCCACTCCGGGTAAGATTTACCAAAATTCTGTTGCTCTGCATAGAAATACTGTGGCTGAAGGTTTTGGGGCATAATATGAGGATTCCTGAGATCATCTCACAACCCTGTAGAGATGAGATTTGTCTTCATTGTTATCTTCTGAAGGTTCTTCTGAACCTCTGCCTACAGGTAGTACCTTTGTGGGTGAGAAACCAAGAGAGAGAGACACAAAACCAAACATCACCTACATTAAAGAAGTGGCAATGCACAGTCAAGACCATGGGGTCAGGCCAGGCACGGTGGCTCACGCCTGTAATCCCAGCACTTTGGGAGGCCAAGCTGGGTGGATTACCTGAGGTCAGGAGCTCGAGACCAGCCTGACCAACATGGTGAAACCCCGTCTCTACTAAAAAAAATACAAAATTAGCTGGGCATGGTGGCAGGACCTGTAATCCCAGCTACTTGGGAGGCTGAGGAAGGAGAATCACTCGAACCTGGGAGGCAGAGGTTGCAGTGAGCCAAGATCGTGCCATTGCACTCCAGCCTGGGCAACAAAAGTGAAACTCCATCTCAAAACAAAACAAAAACAAAAAACATGGGGTCAGCTGACCCTGGGCAGGTTGGGTCCCCTGGGCCAAGTTGGTAGCATCCCTGAGTTGCCATTTTCTTATCTGTAAAATAGAGACAATACTATTGGCATGTTTGTCAAATTGTTTTGAGGAATCAATAAGACATTTGTAAAGAAAGACCTCAGTTTGGTGCAGTGGCTCTTAACCAGGGATGGTTTTGCTCCCCAGTCATGATTGTCATGACTGAGGATACGCTGCTGGCATCTGGTGGGTAGAGAGGTTGGGGATGTGCTAAACATCTCACAAGGCACTGTGCAGCCCCCAACAAGAAAGAATTATCTGGCCCAAAATATCAGTCGTGGTAAGGTTGAGAAACCCTGTTCCAGTGCCTGACACAGACTAGGCACTCAAAAACAATAGAAATATAAGCTTCTTATGTCTTCCTCTTTTCTGAATATGGATAAGCCAAATTGAAGACTTGTGGCTATCATTCCAATGAAAGGTTTCTGAATGGTGACCATAGTGGTAACAGTGGTACTGAATGGAGAAAAATGTTTTTCTCTATCCTTCCTGAGATTCTTGCTCAAATGCTGTTATTGTAAAAATTGTAAAAACTGTCACTGCTGACTTCCAATCTAGGTTGTGATTTCAGTTGAAAGTGTCAGAAGCTTTTATGCCCTCAAGCTGGGTGTTATTCTCGAACAACTGGACCAATTATACTAATTAGAAAAATAAAGTTTTTGATTTTTCAACCCTTGTATTTGGCATTAGCAAATGAAGCCTAAAAATTTTTACTATTTTTCAGGATCCCCAAATTTAGCTTGCTGTGATTATTTGTTAGGAAATGTTGGGAATCTCCAACTTGACTTTTATACTTATAATAATGCCTCTTATTAGATATTCACCTCAGTTTCTTGCATTTTTTATTTGTAAAGGGTTTTCACCTACTTAATTAAAGATAGTCTGAAAGTACTTAATACTAATCAGTGTTGGCCAGACCTGGTGGCTCACGCCTGTAATCCCAGCACTTTGGGAGGCGGAGGCGGGTGGATCACCTGAGGTCAGGAGTTCGAAACCAGCCTGGCCAACATAGTGAAACCCTGTCTCTACTAAAAATACAAAAATTAGCTGGGCACGGTGGCGCATGCCTGTAGTCCCAGCTACTCAGGAGGCTGAGGCAGGAGAATCACTTGAAACCGGGAGGTGGAGGTTGTGGTGAGCCAAGATCATGCCACTGCACTCCAGCCTGGGCAACAAAAGTGAGACTCCATCTCAAAAAATATATATACATAGTATATTATATATAATTACTTATATATAATTATATATATAATAACATATATAATTATATATATAATAAATATATATAATAACATATAATTTTATATAATTATATAAATACTATATATAATATATTATATAAATGCTATATGTAATATATGTTATATAAATGCTATATATAATATATGTTATATAAATAATATATATAATATATGTTATATAAATAATATATATTATATATGTTATATAAATAATATATAATATATATAATATGTATTAATTGGTGTTATACTAGGTAATTTGAGAGAAAAAAACCCTTAAAAAACTTAAGCCTAGATGAAGCGACAAAAAATAAAAAAATGGAGCTACTTGAGAACAATTTCAAAATGATTCACTATCATAAAAAGTGAAATAAATGTTACTAGCCTATTACATGCAAAAGCGATACTGAAAGAGAAAATAAGTTAGGCACATAGGGTCAAGATATATGGAGAGTAGCTCCATGGTATGGATATAGGACCCACCAAGTCCGGAGTGAAAATAGGCTGGAGGATGGGCCAAACTGACTAGACCAAGTCCTGGCTACCTGTTTACTAGATAGGTGACCTAAGGTAAGTGACTTCCATCCTCTACACTTACACTTTCTTATTTGTGAAATGGGGATAATCATAGTGGCTACTTCATAGGATTGTTATTAAGTACTTGAAATCCAGGCAGTCTGACTCCAAAACTTGGACTATAAACCCCCAAGCTGCAGTAGCCTAGAATTGTCAGTATTATAGTTGTGGTTGTTATTATTTCATTGTCAAGTAATAACCTGAGTGGAGCAGGGAGAGACTAAAGAAAGATAAGAGACCTTTGAGGTTGTTACAGAAATCTAGAAACAAATGATAAGGACCTCATTAAAGCGGTGGCTTTAAGAGCAGGGATAAAAGGGAATAAACTGGGCAAAGGATCAAATCGAAAAGATACTGTAGGATACAAATCCAGAGGGTAGTTGGATATTGAGGCTGAAGTGTAGAGAGTGAAATGAAAGATAATAGAATTATGAGCCTAGGTACTCAGAAATTGGGTGATGCCATTGAAAATAATTTAAGAGCTTCCATTTCATTATGGAAAAATGATAAGTTCATTTTTTGAAGTGTTACACAGGTTAAGTATAATTTGAAATGCTTGAGACCGCAGGTGTTACGTATTTCAGAGTTTTTTGGATTTTAGACTATTTGCATATACATAATGAGATCTTGGGGATGAGATTAAAGTCTAAACACAAAATTCATTTATGTTTCGTATATACCTTATACACATAGCCTGAAAGTAATTTCATACAATATTTTCAATAAATTTGTGCATGAAACAAAGTTTGTGTACATTCAACCATCAGAAAGCAAAGGTACCGAGTGTGGAATTTTCCATTTGTAGGGTGATATCAGCACTCAAAATGTTTTGGATTTTGGAGCATTTCAGATTTCAGATTTTCAGATTAGGGATGCTCAATCTGTATTTGTATGTCAAAGGTAAATCTAAGTGAAGCCCACCTGTAGGTTGTCAAAATATGGTCAGTAACAAGTTAGAGACAGAGGTAGAGATTTTGTTTTGCATCACATTCCTATATTGTCACTGGAATAAGGTAAGTAAGTTTGAAGTGTTGCTATTCTCACCATATTCTTAACATATATTCTGGAATCTGGGTGACAAGTTAAGCTTAGTTTTCATTATTTAGAGTACTTTCACATTTTCTGATTCTGCTTTGATGTATTTTCTGATTTTTAAACTACCCTAATCTTGTATGCATTGCTGAAATGTTACAAAGGTTGGTAAGCTTATTGCTAAGTAGCCAAGTGATTCTTTCCAAAGTCATCATCCATTTTATCAGCAATAATGCTTTCTTTAATGCTTATTAATAATTACCCAAATGTTTTGAGATTGAATATGATGTTTATTATCATCTAATTGTTTTAGCAGAGTTCAAATTACTACTGATCAAATGTTGAACATGATACCCAGCCCTTCACTTTTCTCAAGATTGATATTTCCCTGAGTTCAGAGTACAACATTTTACAATTATTTTTAGAAGTTGTACATTCCTAGCAGTTGACTAGTGAACCAATTACATTCCCCTAAGAACCCATCATAACTTCAATGTCATTATAGTAATTTGCAAAAAAAAAAATTATAGTTTCTTGAGGTAAAAGGGTTAGGTCAGAGTTTTTCAACCTTGGTACCATTGACATTTAAGGCCAGATAATTCTTTGCTGCGGGGTTTGTCCTATGATTTATGGCAGCTGCCCCCAGTCTTCTTGGGACCAGGGAACAGTTTTGTGTAAGACAATTTTTCCACAGACCAGGGGCCGGGGGGAGTAGTTTTGGTATGATTCAAGTGCACTACATTTATCATGCACTTTATTTCTATTATTGCCTTGTAATATATAATGAAATAATTATATAAATTACCATAATGTAGAATCAGTGGGAACCCTTAGCTAATTTTCCTGCAACTAGATGGTCCCATCTGGGGGTGATGGGAGACAGTGACAAATCATCAGGCATAAGATTCTCAGAAGGAGCATGCAACCTAGGTCCCTTGCATGTGCAGTTCACAATAGAATTTGCACTTCTATGAGAATCTAATGCCACCGCTCATCCGACAGGAGGTGGAGCTCAGGTGGTAACTTGAGCATTGGGGAGTGGCTGTAAATACAGATGAAGCTTTGCTTATTCTCCCGCTGTTCACCTCCGGCTGCATGACCAGGTTGCTAACAGGCTGGTCCGTGGCCTGGGAGTTGGGGACCCCTACTTTATAGGATGTCTAGCAGCATCCCTGGCCTCTACCCACTACATGGTAGCAGCAGCCCCATCCTCCAAGTTGTAACAACCAAAAATGGTCCCAGACTTTGCCAAATGTCCCCTAGGGGGCAAACTCATCCCCAATTAAAACCACTTGCTTATTTAGTTCTTCCACTTATTTACATTTCTAATTTCAACTGTATTTTAAATCTTTAATGTCATATGAAATACAGCATACTACATACATGTTCTATCACCAAGGATGTAAGGGATTCTTGCTTTTTAGGTAAATGATGTTATTGGTTTAGGTCTGTATGCTTTTACAATGTGAGCCACCTTACACAAAGTGCAGAATGGTATATAGAAAAAAGTACACTAGAAACTTGTTTTTCTTCTCTCTGACAATGTCACTGAATGTTCTCAATCAAGCATTTAAAACATATTCAACATTCAGTCAACCTAGACTTATTAAGTTACTACTATGTGATTGGCACTGTTGCTACCTACTGAAGGTACAAAGATGAGTAAAATGGTCTCTATCCTCAAAGAAGTCTCAGCCAAGTGGAGAAGCTGGGCAAGGAAACAGCTACACCACAATGTAATAAATATTGTAGCTGAGGAATGGAAATTTGGGAGCTCAGAGGAAAGAGTAACTCTACCTGAGGAAATCATGGAAGACTTTTAAAAGGAAACCAAGCTGGAACAGATGCTTAAGATGAGCAGGAGTTTACCAGGCACAGAGGGAGAACAAGGACTCCAGGCAAAGGAAACAGCCTCTGCAGAGACTCAGAGCCATGGCTTTAGGGGACGATAAACATGGTGGTATGACTGGAATCGGAGAGGTGTGGGGTGATGGCTGGAGAGGAGGCTGGGAAGGCGGGCAGGATCCAGCTGCTGCAGGCCTTGAATGCCAGGCTAAGTTCTCTTAATGGTCTCTCCTATAAGCCGTGAGAAACACTTGAAGAATTTATAGGTGGGAGTACCCTACAAGGATAATCTAGCCAACTGCTGTTTTATTTAGTGGTTACTAATTTGGATATTGAGATGTTTGTTTTATAATTGTGTTTACTGTAACTAATTACAGTTACAGTAAATTTAAAAAAATGAGGGCCAGGCGCAGTGGCTGATGCCTGTAATCCCAGAAATTTGGGAGGCTAAGGCAGGTAGATCGCTTGAGGTCAGGAGTTTAAGCCCATACTGGCCAACATGGTGAAACCCTTGTCTCTATTAAAAATACAAAAATTAGCCGGGTGTGGTGGCGTATGCCTTTAGTCTCAGCTACTTGGGAGGCTGAGGCCCTTGCATCACTTGGGCCTAGGAGGTGGAGGGTGGAGGTTGCAGTGAGCCAAGATTGTGCCATTGCACTACAGCCTGGCGACAGAACAAGACCCAGTATCAAAAAAAAAAAAAGAGTTATATAATAAATCCTATAATGAATAAGTCCTTGTGCTACATGTTAGGGGCAAACAGAGCCATAAAAAAAATCTTAAGGCGCCTATAATTTACTAGGGAAGAACGCCTGGTATGTCATAAAAGTCTGTACGTAGTGAGGAGGCATCAGACAGAGGAGAGGATGATTAATCCTGTCTGAGAGTAAGGGAGTCTGGGAAGGCTCCACGAAACTTTGATGGTGTTTGCCAGCTGGACAAAGGCTGGATGATGCCACCTTGATGGTATCCTTGTTCTAGGAACAGAAAGTCTACTCTTACCTAGGAAGAGTTGCCCTTCATGTTTTGTTTTCAGAAAGTATCACTTCAATCTAAACATTTAGACTATGTGGATACACTTAAAGGTCCATTCAGATCTTTATCAAATGTAAGTTTTTAATTGAGGAATTTCCTGACCATCCCTTGTTTCATTTTCTCTATTTTACTTTTATCACCACATATAACAGACTATGCTGTATATTTTATTATTTTATCTTCCCCCTCTCAAATGTAAGCTGCATGTGTCAGGAATTTATGTCTATTTTGTCTATTGTTATATCCTTAGTGCCTGCTACAGGGCCTGGTGTGGTAGATTTCAGTAAATGATTGTTAAATAAATGAATATAATTTTATTACTAGTTATGTTGGATTTAACTAGAATTCAGCTAAATTCACCATAGCATTACATGTTAAAGAATTCTTTTTTGTTTTTACCAGGTAGGTAAATACTCTCGAAAATGGCTTCATCTTATTCAGTTTTATTCCATATTTCTCAAAAGAGGAGAGTTATTTCATTTTTTTTTTTTTTGCTGCCTGGATTCATACTTAAATTCAAAGTTCATGGGTAATTTTATGACTGCCTGACTAATGTAGTACAATTGTTTAGATTGAAGCAGAATTTATAGATACGTTCAGTATCTATAAATTCTCAATCCCAATAACAAGATTTTACTTTTGAAAGGTCAAAATGTATTGAATCACTTTGAGAACATAACTCAGGTTAATGTGTATTTATTTTACCTCTGTGGAAATGCTTAATATGTTTCTGTTCCTTTTTCCCTCCTTCCGTTCTTCCTTCTTTCCACCTTTCCTCCCTTCCTTCTTTTCTTTCTCCCTCCTTCCTTTTGTTTTTCCTCCCTCCCTTTTCCTTCTTTCACTATATTGTGATAGAATAGTGTTTAAATTAGTGATTCAAAGCAGCATAAATTTATTCTTGATATAAAGGGGGATGAATTAAAACCAAATTGACTTTGCCATCTGTATGTTGCTTTAAATTGAGAACATATATTTGGTAATAGTGAGGGAAGGTGTTGGTGCTGATCCAGTCACCTGTGGTCAGGGAGGGGGCGTCACATGTTTCCTGGGATTCATCTTTCCTAAAGGGAAAAGGTGCTAGCAAGTGTGTGTTGATAGGAGGGTGAGTGGGGAGAGAATGGAAAGGCACCAGATATACAGACACTCCTGAAGTGCCTACTGTAGTAACTGCTGAGCTCAAACAGTGAAGGAGCATGTTTGTCTTCTAAGAGCATTAAAAACATTTTTTAAAAATCATCAGGATAAACAGCCAACCTTTTTCTGTTCATTCTGAAGGTGATATTCTGTTCATCCAGTCTTTTCACTGTTTCTCAGTGTTTATGTTTAGCCTATGTAACATAATCCTTTTTTTTTTTTTTTTTTTTTTTGGGAGACAGAGTCTCACTCTGCCATCCATGCTCAAGGGCAGTGGTGTGATCTTGGGTCACTGCAACCTCTGCCTCCTAGGTTGGATCAATTCTTGGGCCTCAGCCTCCTGAGTAGCCAGGACTACAAGCGTGTACCACCATGCCCAGCTAATTTTTTGTATTTTAGTAGAGATGGGGTTTCTCCATGTTGCCCAGTCTGGTCTAGAACTCCTGACCTCAGGCAATCCACCCACCTCGGCCTCCCAAGGAATTGCAGGTGGAACCTACCATGCCCGACCTATATGACGTAATCCTATTAATGAAAACTGAATTTCAGAATTTTCTGTTTTCTTTTTTTGGCTAAGATCCCAGCTTGGAAAAAGAAAGATTATATATATATATATATTTCGGCTTGATGTCCAAGAAAAAGTCTAGATTGAAATCAAGAAGTTGTTTGTATTATTTTTTTTCTCTTGAAGATGAGCCAACTTGTCAAATGTTTTACATCATGAGAACCACAGTCAGATAGCTTCCTGCTGTCTTAGAATAAGAGTGCGTTTTGGAATGCTGTTTTATTCTGTTTGTTTTCATTCTCCCTTTTCTACTTCCGTCTGTTCTTCCCTGCCCCCAGCCCTTGATGTTGTTTAGCAGCGTATGCTTCCTGTTAGTGTTTTGATTCCTTTTCAGGTTTCAATTACAAAAACAAAATAACTCAAACAATAGGAATAACATAGATGATTCTCTGGAATGAAAATTGAGCTCTCCCTAGCTAACAGGGAGATAGATTCAAATGACCACATGTTTTTGTAGTTCTCCAGATTTCTGTTGGAGACACAGTCTGTGTATCACTACCCATCCAGAAGGCATGTCTTGCGTTAGCATGGAAGACCACTTTTAATCCAGCGTGCCTTCCCAATTCCTGTGTAGAATGAAGATATGAGACTGATGCAGTGCTTCCTGTAGAGCCATACACATATTATTCATTCATCCCACAAGTAAATGTTAGCTTCTTTATTTTAAACTAGGTACTGGGAATATAATAGTGAACAACACAGACAGCTGTCTTTGCCTCAGGTAGCGCATGATGTAGTTAGGCAGAGAACTGAACAGAAAATTACCTTCTGAAGCAATAAATACTGTGACATGGGAAGTGCAATTTGCTGTGAGAGCACATAGGAGGAGCCTCAAACCAGAGAAAGGGTGAGGTGAACAGAGAGAGGTCAGGGCAAGCTTCGGAAGACTTAAGATGAGACTGGAAGGGATACAAATTAGCTAAGCAAAGGATGAAAGAGTGGATATAAAAGAAAGGGAAGATAAAAGTATTTACTCATAATCGCCGTAACCAGTCTTCAATGAAATTTCTGAGTTTTGGAGATATTTACTGATGAGCTACCTTTATGTTGGACTGCCGGCTATCCTCAGCATCAAAGCTGGATGAACAGCAAGTACTGCTGTACCGAAATGGACATGTTAAAGGCTGACTAATTTCTACGTGGGCAAGTCACGTCTTCTACCTTTGGTCATGAATGGTTCCTTCCAGAGCTTCAGTATGCTTTTTCAGGAATCCTCAAGCCTAGCATGATGGTGCACGCCCTTCCATGAAGGCCTATGGCACCTTGGCCAGACCTCTGGGAGCACATGAAAATGAGCTCAGCCATGTCCATAATCCAGGAATTTTCTCCCTTTATTTAAGTGAGTAATGCCTATTTATATATTTAAAAGTTGAGAATAAAGACACACAAAAAGAAGAAATTAAAAATCAATCACCATCCTACTCCCCCAAGCTAAAGTCTGTTAACTTCTTGGTGTACTTATTTGTTTTTTTTTTTTCTATGTGCTTTAGTTTTGGTGTTTGTTTTTTCATTAAAAATTCATACATGCCTATTTTTTAAAATGTGGAAAATACAGTAGAAAGAAAAATTTGATGAGAGTTCCACAACTCAAAGAAAACCAATTTTGATATTTTTCTTTTCCATCTTTATTTGAGGTACAGGCAGTGTTTTCTTTTTTTCATTTAGTTTTTGCTTTGTTGAATTGCTATTTACTTGTACTTCTGAGCTTTGCATCTAAAGTGGAAACTTTTTTATAGTAGCCTTGTTGAAATATAATTCACATACCATAAAATTTACCCTTTAAAGTGTATAAATTAATCAAGTTAATATATTGAAAGAGTTGTACAGCAATCAGCAAATATAATTCTAGAACATTTCCATCGCCTCAACACAAAACCCCACACCCATTAGCAGCATTAGTAGTCATTCCCTGTTTTCTCCCAAGGCAGCCACTAATCTATTTTATGTCTCTGTGGATTTGCCTATTCTCGACATTTCATAGAAATAGAATCACATGATATGTAGGCTTTTGTTACTGACTTTTTTCACTTAGTGTAATGTTTTCAAGACTCACCCATGTTGTAGCATGTATCAGTACTCATTTCTTTTTATTGCCAAATAATATTCTATTGTATGGGTATGCCTTACTTTACATACCCATTTATAAGTTGATGAACTTGTAAATATCCATTTATAAGTATACATATCCATTTATAAGTTGATGAACACTTTATTGTTTCTGCTGTTTGCCTATTATGAGTAATGCTGCCGTGAAGACTCATGTACAAGTTTTATGTGGACATTTGTTGAAGAGGAACATTTTAAAGGAAATTTCTTTAGAGGGTTATTCTGATGATGGCAGATGAAATGTTAAAATGTGATTGTTTGGAGCCTCAGCTAGATGCTTCTATTTTCTTTCATAATAAATAAAAGAATGTAAAACATTCTTATAACATTAAAACACCAACCTCCCAAAATATGTAGGCCACAGCCACTCCATCCCCAAGCTCCAGCCCATTCGTGCATTTTTAAATTTTTATTTATTTTATTATTATTATTTTTGAGATGGATGATCACTCTTGTTGCCCAGGCTGGAGTACAATGGCACAATCTCAACTCACTGCAACCTCCGCCTCCCGGGTTCAAGCAATTCTCCTGCCTCAACCTCTGAAGTAGCTGGGGTTACAGGTGTCCGCCACCACACCCAGCCAATTTTTGTATTTTTAGTAGAGACAGGGTTTCATCATGTTGGCCAGGCTGGTCTCAAACTCCTGACCTCAGGTGATCCACCTGCCTTGGCCTCCCAAAGTGCTGGGATTACAGGCGTGAGCCACTGCACCTAGCCCTTCATGCATTTTTTATTAGCCCTCTATTAGGTGTGGGGTATAGAGCTTAGTATCCTATGACTCCAGGGAGCCCATTCACATTGTATTCGATATCAGAGTCATCTATATGAAGTGAAAAATGACCCGTGGAATTAAGCAACACGGTGAGCCCTAGGTCTAGGCACAAAATTTGCTTCAACATTTTATTTTACATGAGAAAGAGCTCCTCATCTCTCCCACTGGTATGCAGTGAATGAGTTTTGTCCTCCTTTTTTTTTTTTTTTTTTAAGATGGCATCTCGCTCTGTGTGGCCAGGCTGCAGTGAAGAGGCTGGATGTTGGCTCACTGCAATCTCCGCCTCCCGGGTTCAAGCGATTCTCCCGACTCAGCTCAGCCTCCCGAGTAGCTGGGATTACAAGCGTGTGCCACCACACCCAGCTAATTCTCGTATTTTTAGTAGAGACAGGGTTTCACCATGTTGGCCAGGCTGGTCTTGATCTTCCGACCTCGTGATCCGCCCGCCTTTGCCTCCCAAAGTGCTGGGATTACAGGCATGAGCCACCGCGCCCAGCCTGTCCTCCTGCTTTTTCATATGGGATGGATCCTGGGAAGGAGAAACACAGTGCAGGAAGCAGAGTAAGATTGGGGAAATCCTTTCTTTACTCCTTTGTCTTAAAACTCTGCCTGATTGCTTCATCTTCTTTATGTCTCTAGAGATAAGCAAAAACCTGGAGGTCACGGATGACTTTGATTATATTCCTGGAGGAATCATTCAGCCCTTGATTAGGTGTCTTTGTTCTGTTCATGCCAAACATCACCAGACAAGCAGTCACATCCCCTGAGTTCCCCAGTACCAGATTTTTCACTTATTGGGTAACTCAGCCTTTCTGAACTTAAAAAGTTTCCTTTAAGTTCATCATCAAAAGAACTTAAAAAAAAAACTTAAAAAAAGAACTTAAAAAAAAAAACTTTAAAAAGAACTTTAAAAAAAAGAACTTAAAAAGAAATAAAGAACTAGTAGCTCCATTCTCTCGATAGCTTCTTTGCCTTCTTTGACATCCCTTGAAGTCTGTGGCTTTAATCCAGATGACATGAAGTAAGAGAGTCCAATGGACAGAAAAATGATTAAAAGTAGGCAAGGTTGAGAACCCACTTGGTATCTCTGACTGCTTTGGCTTCAAAGTGTTGAACTGGGGCCCAAGCCAACCTGTGGAAACATTGCTCCAGGGAGCAAGGTGTAGGACTCACCTGTGGTACATGAACTGTTGTTGTCTCTGGAGGAGGTCTGTCAGTGCTCCAGCCAGAGCATGAAAATCACGTGGTGGTGCCTCAACCTTGATGGTTGAGCTGTGTACAGAGGATAATTCCTGCATCTTGTCATCAATCATGGCCAGAAGGAACATACCAAGGCCATCATCCCCAGAGAGGAGAGAGGGGCATACCATATCTGACAATATTTCTATAAACATTATTTTTGGGCTGAAATACTAGGCCATTACACGTTTCCACCAGGATGGTGCCAATATGCTCACAGTGCCTGATGAGGCTCCAGGAGGTGGCGTCCAGATCAGGTTGTATGTGGGTGGAGCAGACAGGATTGGGGATAATAGGAACATTACCTTTCCTTCCAACCAGCTGGTTCATTCTTTTGACCCCTTTTGTTCTTCTTTCTTCCTCTTTATTTAGTAAAACCCAAACCAATTTCTCACTTTCTGCCTCATTTTCCACTAAGCACAAAGAGGCAGCACTATGAATGTTTCCACTATTGATACCTGGGTGATACCTTCATTCAGCAATGATGTCAATTCAGGCACCTTGAGTAGACTCCTTGGGGAGAGGCTTCATTCTCTAACGGTGCCTACTTCAGAGGGATATTGCTCTGATGTATTTAGAGTTTGCTTCCCAGACAGATTAACACCACAGATACAACAGACCCTTAAGCAAACATACCCTGATCATACACTGTACCCTGGGCCAGCCCACAATCTAACACAGCAATATTGTCCACCACCCAAACTCCCACCAAATGTGTATGCAGCTCTGGGTTCAAAGGTATTGGAAACCTTCTTTAAAATGCAGAAAAACCACAGTATTCAGAAGAAATTTTTATGTTCCTGACGCACTATGGAGCTAGGCTTTCTTGGAGTGGAGGTGGCAGCATGGAGAAGAGGTGGGGAGAGCCTGCCCAGGTCAAGAGTCAATTTTGTGTATCAAGCTTAGAATCCAGGTCACACTCTAGTGGTGGAAAGTGACCCAGCACTACATGAAAATACATAGAGATTGCATGTCCTTGTCTTCTTTTGACTCCTGGTCTTTTTCTCCCCTTTCTCTGTCCTCCTTCTGACATAAAGAGGAAAAGGAAACTATAGATACTGCTTTACCACTCTTATTCCACCGTGAGTACACAGAATCTCATAATCAGGTTACTATGCACATACATATCAGTGCCTTGCACACTGAGCTCTTTTTACCTTCTCTGAGGTGAGTGAAGAAGGGAAGGTCTGTAACCTGAGAACATGACTATTGAGAATGAGTCACTGTTCACTTGACCCAGGTGGGTGAAAAGACCCAGCAGCCCCATGCTGCCTACTCCCTTGGCTGCCTACCACTGAGCAGGGAGGATGTGCAAACCTACTGTCAACCTCCCTCCCAACCTGTGGTCACCTCTGAGAAGCCAAAGCAGGCACTCAGGAAGAGCTGAGGAGGACTCCTTCCTTCCCCTGAGCTCAAACTTCTGCGATTCCCAAAACAATACTCCAAACACAGTAGAGACAGAAGATAGCACTCAGTTACTAGAAGAACAAATATATTTGGAAAGAATAAATATCCTTGGTTATGAGAAACATAACAGAGACCAGGTTTTTCAGAGGATGTGGTAGCATGTGGCTATTCTTGCCTAATTGTACAGAAACATTTTGTTGATGGAAATTTCCCTCCTCAGAGGAGATGGAAGACTTTCTTGTTGACTATCCCTAAAGACAAAGCCAGGGACAGTGAAGAGGGCAGCCTGAGGAACTTCTCCTCTTTCGCCCATGCTGGCAGGGCCTGACTGGGGAAATGGGCTCCCTGGGGCTCCTGGAATGGGGATGATCTGGACATACTGCCTGACCCTTGAATCTGACAATTTTGTGGTGGATGTCCAGAGACATGAAAACCGAATATAATTATCCTACTGGATCATGTTCTAGATGGGAAAAACTCAGGAACTAAAAACCAAAACCCAAAGCAAAACACAAAAACAAAAAAAAAGGAAAAGCTTACATTCATGGGGACTTTATTGTGTAAATTGCCAAGATTTTAATAAAGACAATAGATAGAGTTTGTATCAATGTTAAATTTATTGTATTTTTTGTGTGTACCTAAGGGAATATCTTTTTTATAATACAAAAAACTGTAGTATTTAGGAGTTAGGGGTAAAGGGCTATATGCAACCTACCATTAAATGTTTGAAAAAAATTTATTTCTCTATCCATCTGGATAGAGAGAAAATGAGAATGTGAGTGAGCAAGAGAGTCCAAGGGGCAAATGGTTAAGAGGGTAAATCTGTGTAATGGGTATATATTTATGTAACTTTTTTAAAGGTTTGATATTCCCAAATTCAAACATATTTCTAAGAATCCCTCAGATTTTTTTCCTGAAAGTACAAAAGTTAATAAATTTTTCCTTCTTATCTACTGTTCTGTCATTTACCTGTGGGTTTTTGGTTGTTATCATTGTGGAAAATAATTCAAATGTAGGAATTTAAAAGCTATTTTAAGGTATGGGTTGTTGAAGACTTAAATCTCAGCACCAGCTACATTAGTGCAACTAAATTTTAAAGATTGCTAAAGTCAAATACTTGTATATTGTTTCTTAGAGAATTCAGCAGTATGTGCCCTGAGAGCTATGTTCTTCTTAAATCAATATTCTTAAACTGATCTTCTTGCCAGAAGAAACACATTTTACTTAATTTAGTTTTCTTTCACTTAATGGTCATTATTTCAGCTTAAGATTGTCAAAGAAAAGAAGAAGAAGAAACTACCACATTTATTGAGCATGTCTTATGTGTTGGATGCTGTTATGTGCATGCAGGCATTTAATCTTCAAAACACTTCTGAGGAGTGCATAGTGGTGCACCATTTTACAGATGATCAAACTGAGGCTCTGACGGCTTAACTAACTTGCTCAAACTCAGCTGCTAAGTGACTGAGCTGAAATTGAGGCCCTATCTGACCTCAAAATTAGTACAACTCTTTCCATTGAGCTATGCAATTTCAGAAGTCAACTAAATAATAATCTAAAATACTCAGTTTCAGTTTAACTCATGATCTAGCATTTAAGGTGAGGCCCATGATACTGTTCATTTAATGCTCAGTTTACTACATATTTTAGAAAATCAATTGTTTTTGCTACTATTAACTCCGTAATTCAAGCAAATTGTTACCAACTAATTCAAGAAAATTTATTTTCACTCAGATGCTCCCTAATTTTGCCTGAATAACTATCAAGTATGGGATTTATGTAGAAAAATTTTAACATATATGACATTTTATGCCAGAACGGTATTATATTATTTATAATGGTCTTATATTTTTTAATCTAGCTTATATTTATTTGTTATGGTCTTATATTATTTAATCTGGCTCATATGAAGTTATTTATTATGCCAAGGAAAATATCTGAATATGGGACAGCCAACCCAAGGTAGATAGGTTACCCGGAACTGACATGTTTCCACTCAGTTACCTTTTGTGGTAAGAAAAGAGAGTTTGCAGAACCACAATAGTGAGTAGATAATCACACTTTGAATATATTAATAACAAGAGGAACTTTGGAAGTTGTACAAATACATAAATATTAAATAACATGCTCCTGAATGACCATTGAGTCACTGAAGAAATTAAGGAAGAAATAAATAAAAAGTGTTTCCCTGTCCCCACTACCCCTTATCATGAACCCTGTTTATTTCCTTCATAGCACTTACCACGGTTTGTAATTATCTCTTTAATTTCTTTGCTTACTTGTTTATTGTCTGTCTCAGTTACGAGGCTGTAAGGTCCTCAGGACTGAGAACTTGGGTACTTAGTTCACTAATTATCACCAGCATCTGGAACAGTGTCTGAGAAGATGGAAATAGCATTTATTGGATAAATGGATTAGGAAGTTTTCTGTAGATCCCAAAGTGCATTTTCTTCAGTTCCCTTATCTAAGCCTGTTTGCAAAAGCAAGAATAAAAGACAGATTACTGTTACATTGCATGTGCCCTCAGTAGAAATTTTGAGTCTTTTTTCAAACAAAATAATTTTCCTGGAAGCCAGCTTTTGACATGAAATTTTATTTTATTTAACTATAGTAGACTTCCAGCAGTTTTATAGTTTGGTCTCAAATAACTTCTTTACCATCTGCTTTTAATTTTGAAGGGACCCTCCCTTCTTTCCAAAATACATGTATTAAAAAACACATTAAAATAAAACTTAGGTCATTTAGAAAGAGAAGCATATGTGTTTTTAAAAAAATGTGACCTGAAAAGTTAAACATTAATTATTCAGTACTTTTTAGCAACAAGGAAAACAAAACAAAACAACAAAAGGCTTCATCATTTTGTGATAGTTGCAAATAATGACCAGAAGTTTCCTTCTGAGATACACACATAGTAAAAAAAAAAAAAAAAAAAAAAAAATTAGATGCTCTAAAAGATGCTGAAGAAACATCTTGGTGAAGAATACCATAGGCCTCTAACCCCATCAATAATATTTGAGTCTTTGGTTTACCTGTGGTGTAGCGATTAATAGCAAGGAATTCTGTTCTCCATCTTTTCTTTTTTATATTCAAACATAAACTATTCTCTAGTGGGAAACAATAATTTTTAAAATACATTTTTTATCATTATTCTCACAAAATGGTTTTCAATTTTGGAGACCAACACAAGTATGGTATTGTAAAAGTTCTTAGGAATGAGCCAGCACATATTTTATATTTTAATTGTGTTAATGACATGAAATTTAAAAGAACTGGCAAAATCTGCCACAATGTACAGTTTTAATCTATCATGAAAATGTGTTATATGACCATCTGGGAAATCTAATCAATATAGAATCCTTGGACCACAATAAAATAAAGGAATCCTAGAGGCCATTGAACTCATTTCCTGTGTCAGAGAGCAATACAATAAAACAATTCTAGAAAGTAAAAATCCATTCCATTTTAATGTCTTGAGAAATATTACTTCCTAAAAATGATTTTATTCTGGGATAATAAAGTTATCATGGCATAATATTGTTGGATTTCTACTGCGTTGTCCTTGAATTACAGGACTTAAAAAGACAGAAAATTGGATTTTTAGGAATTTCAAAAACCAAAGAGCTGAGAAAGAAAAATGCTTTCTCCTTCAGAAAAAGAACAGCAGCCTAAATAATATGCAATAAAATTCTTGTGGCATCAGGCACACAGGGTATTTAACCAACCAAGACATTTTAATAAATCCATTTATTCTAGCATGTAACCCACACAAGACTTTTGATGTCCTTTTTTAGTCACGAAGCACCCACTGTGACTTGTCACCATTGCAAGTATTAATTATGGTTTCTTACTCAAGAACACTTGACAAAGGAACACCTTGTGTGCAGGAAGGCCTCCCCTCTGGTCTCCTGCCACTAGGCAGAGACCTCTCCTACCTGTGATACCCTGGCAGCAACTGTTGCTCTTTCTCCCTTAGTTCTTGCTTTCTGCTGATATCCCTTTCTTAAGAAACATTAGGAGAGCTTGAAAATACAATCAAGAGAATTCTTCACATACTCTCCTCGTCATAAAGGACAATGTTTAACAATAAGCTCTCGCCCATCATCAAGGATTATTCAGTTATCTTAGAGGCATGCACCTGTGTTTGAGACTAGCTACTTACTATTTGGTCCAGAATTTGGGAAGTTACATTTTAGTTTATAGATTTGTCTCCAGTAGAGATGCAAATTATTTCTGTCTGGTATAAAAGGGAACTTAAATGTTATGCTGATTATGGTTTTATTTTCCTGAAAGATATTTACCAGTTTGTTATTTAATCTAGGAATCTTATTCTAGCATTCTTCCTCAAAATGCTGATATATATTCAGTTCTTCAAAATGTTCTTTGCACCAGCTATAATGTTTTTCTGGTTCTCATATTAGTTAATAGGTTCAATAAAACCTTTATTCATTTGCATTCTTAATTTGTATGAATCATATTTTAACTTTTTGAAAACTTTATATCTTCTTTGGAAGCTTCCCATTGCTATTTCCAGTGGAGCCACAGAATCCAGGCCCTGCCCATCCCCTCATCTTTTATTCTGGTATTGTTTCCTTCCTACATCAACATGGTGTTATACAGCCAGCCTCCTAGAAATTTTTATAGGTCTATATGCTCCCGAGCCTGTTTTCCAAAATTCTTACACAGTTTTTAAAGAGAAGGGCTCAGATTTAGGGATTTATCTCACAGATTTTTGTGGATTTATCTCATAGAGTTAAACCTTTATTTTGATTCAGCAGGTTAGAAACACTCTTTTTGTAGAATCTATGAAGAGACATTTCTGAGCCCATTGAGGCCTATAGTGAAAAACCAAATATCCCGCGATAAAAACTAGAAATAAGCTATCTGTGAAAATTATTTGCGATATGTGGATTCATGTCACAGAGTTAAACCTTTGTTTTGATACAGCAGATTGGAAAAACTCTTTTTGTAGAATCTGTGAAGCAACATTTCTAGGCCATTGATACCTATAGTTAAAAACCAAATACCCCATGAAAAAACTAAAGGCTTAAGAATCCTTCAGTGTCTTGGGCTTTAAAATATCCTTAATGTTGTTTCTGGCATATTGTAAGTCAAACTGGCTTCCTTATGGGGTTAGTCAAAGGACTTTAACACACCTATTTTGGCATCTGTGGCAAAATGTAAACAAATTCCAAGCATTCAAGGTTGGAGGTTAGTAAGATGGTACATATCTGTTTACTTTGCCTTCCCAGCATGTATCTCTCCATCTAGTAACAGTACCCTGATTTTACTTACTTACCTTTAGAGTCTTAGTGGGAGTTTTAGTTAGAATGCTCTTTCATCTCTTAGGCGAGAAGTGGGCACATGACCTCAGCCAAGTCAATAGATGATCTGGAATTTGAATCTTAAATAAGTAACATGTTATCTGAAATAATGAGTGTGGTTCTTTCATCCCAAGGACAGGACCCTCAATCAGGGTTAAGTTGTCATCAGTTTAAAGTAACGGGTTATGAGATATTATTTGTAAGCCTCGTGGTAACCTCAATTCAAAAAACATACTACAAATACACAAAAAATAAGGAGCAAGAAATTAAAACATACTACCACAGAGAATCACCTTCACTTAAAGGAAAACAGAAAGGAAGGGAAAAGGGAAGAGAAGACCACAAAACAACTAGAAAACAAATAACAAAATGGCAGGAGTAAGTTCTTACTTATCAATAACAACACTGAATGTAAATAAATTCTCCAATCAAAAGACGTAGAGTGGCTGAATGGATTAAAAAAAACAAGACCCAACAATCTGTTACCTACAAGAAACACACTTCACCTATAAAGACACACACAGACTGAAAAATAAAGGGATAGAAAAAGATATTCCATGACAATGGAAACCAAAAAAGAGCAGGAATAGCTATGCCTATATCAGACAAAATAGATTTTAAGACAAAATCTACAAAAAGAGACAAAGAAGGTCATTAAATAATGATAAGGGAGTCAATTCAGCAAGAGCATATAAGAATTGTAAATATATATGCATTCAACACTGGAGCACCCAGATGTATAGATATATAAAGAAAATATTGTTAGAACTAAAGAGAGATACACCCCAATACAATAATAGCTGGAGACTTCAACAGCCCACTTTCGGCATTGAAGAGATCATCTAGACAAATCAACAGAGAAATACCAGACTTAACTGGCACTATAGACCAAATGAATCTAATGGGTATGTACAGAACATTTCATCTAACAGCTGCAGAATACACATTCTTCTCCTCAGCACATGGATGTTTCTCAAGGATAGACCATATGTTAGGCCAAGGACAGGACCCTAAGGGACTGTCAACTGGTTCCTGACATCTAAATATTCATAGCTGTCTTGATCCTGTCCTAATAGGGATCTAATTCTTCAGCTTTTCCTTTTCTCTGTGAGCTGTCTCATGACTTCCTATTAATTCCTCTTTTGGCTTTTGTGAGCCAGAGCTGATTTATGTTGGTATACAAAGAACACCAATTGATATATTTGGTGATTATATGTGTTTCATTAAAATGAAACGTCAAATATTCTATTTTTTATTAGATTTAAAAATTAGAATAATAATAATAATAGCTAATAAATAACATTTACTAAGTGCCTGCCACTGTTCTAGGTGATTTACCTGGATTAACCCATTTAATCCTCACAGAAACCTGAAGAAACTGAGGATCAAAGAGGTAAAGTAACTTGATCCAGCTTACACACTATTAAGTCAAGGTGCAGGGATTTGAACCCAGGCAGTCTGGAGCCAAATTACTTCCTTCTCTGCTTTCTTTATTTCTGTTCTGACCTCTCTCAGTCAGTTCCATTGAGTATTCAATCTAATTGAACATAGAGCTGATGGGGGGATGATCACAGTAGACACCGAGATATGTCAGCATTTCCTTCAGTTATCTGCTGATTATGACCTCATTAGGGTGAACTGTCTGAGCGCCAGAATTATTAGGGAGATTTTTACAAACATGCAGATCCCCAGACCTACTCCAGATCTTTTAGGGACAGGATTCAGGAATCTGACCCTGGTGTTGTGTTTGGGACGCACTGCAGCAAATGAAAGAATTCTGAGATTACTTGGGTTCTTTGAGCCTTACCATGATCATCAATTTCTCTGAGCATTGTCTTCCCAATCTGTAGAATGAAGAAACAAGGCCAACTTTGCCCACCTCACAGGTGTTGTGAGGCTGATGCCTGTGAAAACATTTTGGCAAAATGCTTTACTATTATCATTTTCAAGGAAAGGAAATTTAGAATAGGTATTTTTATTCTGCCAGGCAAATGGAGCTTGCAAAGTACAATTGTCACAAACACACAAAATTCTCTCAAATACAGATTGTATGGGATATGTTTGCACAGACTCATTGCCATTGCTGGGCCTGGATCTCAACCTAGTGATAGCAGTCAGTCTTGAGAGTAGTACAGGAAATTCTTTGCTGGCATCCCCATCACAATTCCAAACCTGTACAACAAAGCTTGAAGATATTTTAACAAAGCAAAAACCTTTCATTCCATGATTAAAGATAAGACTCAAAACACATTTCATGAGGGTAACAGGTTTACTCAGACTGACCCAATAGTCACATTGACTGAAGCCTTCTTCCTCAGTCCCCATTTGACAGTAGCTTTGGAAAGCGCTGCTACAAGGAAAACAGCAGAGCTGATGGCAAGCATTTTTATACAGTCTTGTTTATTTCCCTCTGTGTGTGTGTATATATGTTTATATACACACACAGAAATACAAATATATATATGCATATGTATATATACATATCTGCATCTTCTAGAACTCCCATCTTTCCCCTTGCCAATCAAGCCCAAATTCAATGAAATTATTGTATAGAAATAGTTAATAAAATCTGTTAGCTAATAATATTAACAGAATGAGAACCCAGATTTTAGTTACTAACTTTGGAGATATTTCAGCTTTAAAGCTGTGAGGAAAAACATTGAGAGAGTCTTTATGTAGATCTACCTGATTTGAGTACTGTGAGCATCCAGGTAGAGTAATAGGGGATTGAGGCCTAGGAACTTGGAGAGAAAGAGGTCAGGAAAAATGTATCAAATATACAGGGCGGCTGAACCCAACAGCAGGCTAGGACCCAAGGAAAGAGTCTGGAAACACCTCCTGCTGGAGCCTGGGAAGAGAATTTAAGACAATCTAGTGTCCACCTGTCTTCACACTGCCCTGGGACATGAAGAAGGGGCTCTGGCCTCATTTGGGAGCTGCGAAAAAGAGGGAGAAAGATTGACACGGAGTATGGGGATCGAATGGCCAGTGACAACCAAGAACTGGGAGGATAGTTTAATAAAAAGTGGCAAGTGACAATAAAACAGGCAGGACTCGAAGGAGCTCTCAAAAATACCCAGAAGGAGACTCATTTTCTTGTGGGCAAGCAAATGAGGGTTTGAACGATGTTTATTTGGTTGTTAATGAAAAGGACTGCCCAGAAGGCTGGAAAATATAAAGCACTCTGGTTACATTTGTATTAGCTAAAACATTCTATATGTAATTATGAGATGTATTCTCAATGAAACGGAAGTTACATTGTGACTACATACAGCTTTATAGAAGCCTGACATATGGCAACAACTTGTTAAAACCATTCTAACTTCTTTACTTGAAGAAAGAAAACTAACTACTCTCTCTATAATTGGAGTCCTTGTATCTCCTTTGTGCTTCTACATATCCCCTGGAGAATGAGGAAAAGGAGCTCAGAGGGGGAAGAGAACTAATATTTATTGAGCACCTCCTAATTCCCAAGATGCTTTATAGACATTGTCTTCACTTAATCCAGAGCAACCCTCAGAAAGAGTTACTATAAATCCCGTTTTATGGGGCAAGAAATTGGGGCTCAAGGTCAACTCGCCCAAAGTTACATAGTGTTTCTCATGCTTGAGTAAAGAACAGACTCCTTTTATGACTATCACCAAGAATATGTCAAGTCCTTGGTTTAAAACACACTGATTTATGGCATAATTCATGAAAGCATCTTTCAGTTATGAATTATCACTATAAAAGAAAATTTTCATTTATGTAAGAGTAAACAATAATTTTATTTTATTTATTATTATTATTATTTTTGAGATGAGGTCTCTCTCTGTCACTCAGGCTGGAGTGTAGTGATCTTGCAACCTCCACGTCCCAGGCTCAAGTGATCCTCTCACCACAGCTTCCTGAGTAGCTGGGACTACAGGCTCGCACCACCACACCTGGCTACTTTCCTTTTTTTTCTTTGTTAAGAGATGGGGTTTCTTCATGTTGCCCCTGGCTAGTCTTGGACTCCTGGACTTAAGTGACCAGCCAGCTTCAGCCTCCCAAAGTGTTTGGATTACAGGCATGAGCCACCGCGCCCAGCCGTAAACAATAATTTTAAATACCATCATTGAATTGAAAACAGCCACATGCACACACACACACACACCCCAAAATTCAAAATACAAGGATCTGAGAATGTCTTCAGACCCTTAGATGTGAAGAAACCCTTGGGAAACATTATATTTTTACCATGCTCCCATTATTCAGGCATCAATAAGAGGATTGAGCTATGCTGTACAATAATAAGTAGACTGTAAGATCGTTAGAACTCAGTTTTAAGCTTATAATCTGCAACCAGACATGAAAATCCATATTCCTGATTTCTAGTTAGCACACAAACTTCCACATTGTATAGCCAAGTTGTTGCAAAGCTTTGCCAAAATGGGTCAGCCTCAGAACATTAATGTTATGACACCCTTACACAGTGTAAGGCCATTATTTTTGGACCTAGTTTCATCCAGGGTGCTTCCTGCTTCCATAAGCATGTTCAACTGGTTTGAACAGTCATAGACCCTTGCTGGCAGGTTGATCTCTCCCTTCTTTTCCTCCCCCTCACAGATCTGTCTTGCACTAGGCTCAGTGTAAACAAACTAGTTAAAACTGGCTCTCCATATATCCTACGCTTTAGGAGCAATTTCATATAAAGTCGTCCCTCCATGTCCAATGGGGATTGGTTCCAGGACGCTCCTCAACACCCCGATACCTAAATCTACAGATGCTCAAGTTCTTTATATAAAATGGTATTTGCATTTAACCTACACATACCCTTCTATATGCTTTAAAGCATCTCTTGATTACTTAAAATACCTAATACAATGTAAATCCTATGTAAATAGTTATTAAACTGTATTTTTAAAATTTGTATTACTTGCATTGTTATATTGTTATTTTTAAATTTGGGGGGAATATTTTCCACCCGTTGTTAGTTGAATCCTTGCATGCAGAATCCATGGATATGGAGGGCCAACTGTACAAATCCCAGGATAAAACTCACATGATACAAACTTAAGTCTAAGAACAAATGGGCCCCTTTAAACAGGAATTTCCTTTATCCCAGAGACTGTGCAGCCCACTTTACCAAAGATGTGATTTGGCAGTCTCCCAGAACTTCAATATGATCCCTCTTTGCACTGCTAGAGACAGAATAAATATGTATGATAAAAATGCATGTGATAACTAAAATAAATGGAGGTAGCAGAGCCTAATTGCATTTCCAATAGGAAAGAGCTAGTCATGAAACCATAAAGACATGAGTTTTTTTTAATAGCAAAATGGGAATTGTAGTTTACAGCCCCCAAAAGTATGTTTTCAATTGCTTTCTCTGCATTATTAAAGGTTGACTTTCTGACCTAAGGGTCCTTTGCCATCTAAAATGTCTAAACATGCCAGTTTAAATATATGGTGTCAGCAAAAAATGAAAACCAAACTGTATATTTTTTTCCTCTCACTAGTGAGAGCTGAGCTAGCTGTTCTCACATGCCCACTCCGGCAGGGAAGCTGAAAGCAAGTATGTGAGAGGGAAGGAGTGGTATCAAGGCTCACACATGCCTGCAGATGCCATAGCTGGCTTTTGAATTGTGGTGATTCACATGTTATTATTATAATGGAACTTCACCAACTGATTTCAACTGAAAAAAAATAGTTTGGTTATATATGACTCTTTCACCTCTATCTAGGGAAGATAATGCATATTAAATTAGTCCATATATGATATTTTTTTCCCTTGTTGTAAACCTTGGAAGAGGAATTTGCCAAAAAAAAAAGAATGTATAGCTAATAGGTTTCTTCCTGTTTCTTCCTTCCTTCGTTCTTTCCTTTTTCCTTCTTTCCTTCCTTCCTTTTTTCCTAGCAAAAAGAAGCCTAAACAATGACATTTCTTTTCCAAATATCCATACACGGACTATTAAGTTTAGAAAGAGGAAACTAACAAAACACTTTTTCCCTTAATACTAAACTCCAGGCAATGACTGAGTTGTTTTCGGTTTGCGGAGTGTTTGTTTTTGACCAGTATGAGTCTGCAGTCCTTTAAGAGGCTGAAGCTGATATCTGACACACGTCACTGGGAATGTGAGATAGTGAGAGATCCAAGCTTGTGGAAGGCTGAAGCATGCAAGGTCGTGTCTTCTCTTTGCTTTCTACTACTCAGAGCTCCACTTCCTGCAATTCTTTCATAATGTGCTTCTTTGCCATTTTGCAAGTGTTGATCAAAAATGTCAGGATTGTTTGCTATCTCAAATCCCAAAATATCCATGACCTTGAACAGCACATACATGACTTCTGAAAGGAAAACAGCAGAACTGATGGCAAGCATTTTTATAGTCTTTTTTTATTTCCCTAGGGAATAATAGATATCTTGAAAGAACAACTTTAAAAAAGTTATGCTTTATTAGGAGATTGATAATTATAATTTGAATAAGACTCAGTTAACCAATTGACAAATATCAAGTCTACAACTTCTAGATTAAGTTAAAAATGAGATTTCCCTGCTCTACCTCCTAGATTAACCCATTTAATCCTCAAAGCAACCCTATGATGCTATGCTTTATTTTTCAGTCTATATGTGTAGAAAGTGAGATTTCTACCTCCTTCCCTCAAATATGAGCCAATTGTAAAATAAAAAACACAAATGCTTGTTTCCTCAAGCAAATCTCAATGATAGTTTAACTTTCCACCAGAAAAGGCAGACAAATTTGATTTGAGAAAGATAAGGCTGCTGCTCATGTTGAAATAAAGTATCGATCCAAGAGCTAGCCCTAGACAAGATTTCAAAGTATGCAGATTTTGCCGGGTGTGGTGGCTCACAACTTTAATCCCAGCACTTTGAAAAGCCGAAGCGGCCAGATCACTTGAGGTCAGGAGTTTGCAACCAGCCTGGCCAACATGGTGAAACCCTGTCTCTACTAAAACTACAAAAATTAGCCGAGTGTGGTGGTGGGCGCCTGTAGTCCCAGCTACTTGGGAGGCTGAGGCAGGAGAATCACTTGAACCCGGGAGGCAGAGGTTGCAGTGAGCCAGGATCGCATGACTGCACTCTATTCTGGGCAATAGAGGGAGACACCATCTGAAAATAAAATAAAACAAAATATGCATATTTTGTGAGCATATTTCTCCAGCATTTCTGATCTGCATTATGCAAGCCACTTGATAATACCGGCTCCCTGGCCCCCAGCTGCTGGGAGGGCTCCACCAGTTTCCTGCTCACCAGTCAGCCCTTTCCAAAGCTGCTGTCAAATGGGGACTGAGGAAGAAGGCTTCAGTCAATGTGACTATTGGGTCAGTCTGAGTAAACCTGTTACCCTCATGAAATATGTTTTGAGTCTTATCTTTAATCATGGAATGAAAGGTTTTTGCTTTGTTAAAACATCTTCAAGCTTTGTTGTACAGGTTTGGAATTGTGATGGGGATGCCAGCAAAGAATTTCCTGTACTACTCTCAAGACTGACTGCTATCACTAGGTTGAGATCCAGGCCCAGCAATGGCAATGAGTCTGTGCAAACATATCCCATACAATCTGTGTTTGAGAGAATTTTGTGTGTTTGTGACAATTGTACTTTGCAAGCTCCATTTCCCTGGCAGAATAAAAACACCTATATATAAACATATGTATACACACACACAGAG
Organism: Homo sapiens; assembly: GCF_000001405.40. Classification (NCBI taxonomy): domain Eukaryota; kingdom Metazoa; phylum Chordata; class Mammalia; order Primates; family Hominidae; genus Homo; species Homo sapiens. The sequence continues at coordinate 189,611,701 of NC_000002.12, read as the reverse complement.
AAATACAAAATGACCTCAATAGTTCCTTCAAATTCAGATTCTATTCTATTCTAAAAGCATCTATTTCATATTTTAAAAACATGCATTACAATTGTCTCTGTGTTGTTATGTAAATTTTTAAATGAATTTATAAAAATGTAAATATTGCCAGTATCATTTGGTATCTAACTTTATATGGGAAGTTTGGCACATAGCAGTAACATTAATTTTACTGAGTTTCCACAGTAGAAAATATTTTCTCTTTGTGAAATTTTTAGTCTTCTGAACGAGATTTTTTTTGGTGAAGAAAAGGAAATACATATGTTATTTTAATAAATATATATATTTCTATAGCTGAGAAACCTATCTGATATAAAAATAACAAATTTGATTTCTAATACATTTGTGATGAGCTGTTTTTAAATTAGATTTCTGTTAGAGCATGGTATCCCTCTATCAAAACAAAAACAAAAAGAAAAACAAAAAAACAACCAAACAAACAAAAGGCTGGATTGACTTTTCTTTTTGTTCGGGCATGGTGGATAATAATTTCCCTGGAACTGATAATACGTGAAGGTTGGACATTTTAAGAAAGAATCTGAAATAGAGGACCTGGATTGTAACCATAAATCATCCTGTACACTTACCTGATGGACGTTTTCATATTTGTAAAAATTATTTTTATGTATTTATTGCATTTCCTAAGCAGTCAAGACCTTTTCATGTTTAAGTTATGAAGTAGAGTTCAGGGAGCCACTATGTCTCACCTCACACTTCAGGTAGGTCAGGAAGGTATCAAAACCACAAATATTTCCCTCTAGCTCCAAGCTGTGTAGCTTCTCAGAGATGACAGATATACACTCTGGATTTGGAGTGGTTGCATACACCCTCC